>NC_000005.10:94958291-95261322 GCF_000001405.40 Homo sapiens
ACTAAATGCCCACAAGAGAAAGCAGGAAAAATCTAAAATTGACGCCCTAACATCACAATTAAGAGAACTAGAGAAGCAAGAGCAAACAAATTCAAAAGCTAGCAGAAGACAAGAAATAACTAAGATCAGAGCAGAACTGAAGGAGATAGAGACATGAAAAACCCTTAAAAAAATCAATGAATCCAGGACCTGGTTTTTGAAAAGATTAACAAAACAGATAGACTGCTAGCCAGGATAATAAAGAAGAAAAGAGAGAAGAATCAAATAGACGCAATAAAAAATGATAAAGGCAGTATCACCACTGATATCCCACAGAAATAGAAACTACCATCAGAGAATACTATAAACACCTCTACACAAATAAACTAGAAAATCTAGAAGAAATGGATAAATTCCTGGACACATACACCCTCCCAAGACTAAACCAGGAGGAAGTTGAATCCCTGAATAGACCAATAACAAGTTCTGAAATTGAGGCAGTAATTAGTAGCCTACCAACCAAAAAAACCCATGACCAGATGGATTCACAGCTGAATTCTACCAGAGGTACAAAGAGGAGCTGGTAACCATTCCTTCTAAAACTATTCCAAACAATAGGAAAAGAGGGATTCCTCCCCAATTCATTTTATGAGGCCAGCATCATCCTGATACCAAAACCTGGCAGAGACACAACAAAAAAAGGAAATGTCAGGCCAATCTCCCTGATGAACATTGATGTGAAAATCCTCAATAAAATACTGGCAAACCGAATCCAGCAGCACATTAAAAAGCTTATCCACCACAATCAAGTCGGCTTCATCCCTGGGATGCAAGGCTGGTTCAACATATGCAAATCAATAAATGTAATCCATCACATAAACAGAACCATTGAAAAAAACTACATGATTATCTCAATAGATGCAGAAAAGGCCTTCAATAAAATCCAACACCCTTTCATGCTAAAAACACTCAATAAACCAGGTATTGATGGAATGTATCTCAAAATAATAAGAGATATTTATGAGAAACCCACAGCCAATATCATACTGAATGGGCAAAAGTTGGAAGCATTTTATTTGAAAACAAGCACAAGACAAGGATGCCCTCTCTCACCACTCCTATTCAATATAGTATTGAAAGTTCCGGCCAGGGCAATTAGGCAAGAGAGAGAAATAAAGGTATTCAAATAGGAAAAGAGGAAGTCAAATTATCTCTGTTTGCAGATGAGATGATTGCATATTTAGAAAACCCCGTTGTCTCAGCCCAAAACTCCTTAAGCTGATATGCAACTTCAGCAAAGTCTCAGGATACAAAGTCAATGTGCAAAAATCACAAGCATTCCTATACACCAGTAACAGACAAACAGAGAGCCAAATCATGAGTGAACTCCCATTAACAATTGCTACAAAGAGAATACAATACCTAGGAATACAATTTAAAAGAGATGTGAAGGGTGTCTTCAAAGAGAACTACAAACCACTGCTCAAGGAAATAAGAGAGGTCACAAACAAATGGAAAAACATTCCATGCTCATGAATAGGAAGAATCAATATCGTGAAAATGGCCATACTGCCCAAAGTAATTTATAGATTCAATGCTATTCCCACCAAGTTACCATTGACTTTCTTCAGAGAATTAGAAAAAACTACTTTAAATTTTATATGGAACCAAAAAAGAGCCTGTGTAGCCAAGACAATCCTAAGCAAAAATAACAAAGCTGGATGCATCATGCTACCTGACTTCAAGCTACACTACAAGGCTACAGTAACCAAAACAGCATGGTACTGATACCAAAACAGACATATAGACCAATGGAACAGAACAGAGGCCTCAGAAATAACACCACACATCTACAACCATCTGATCCTTGAGAAACCTGACAAAAACAAGCAATGGGGAAAGGATACCCTATTTAATACATGGTGTTGGGAAAACTGGCTAGCCATATGAAGAAAACTGAAACTGGACCCCTTCCTTACACATTATACAAAAATTAACTCAGGATGGATGAAAGATTTAAACGTAAGACCTAAAATTATAAAAACCCTAGAAGAAAACCTAGGCAATACCATTCAAGACATAGGCATGGGCAAAGACTTCATGACTAAAACACCAAAAGCAATGTCAACAAAAGCCAAAATTGACAAATGAGATCTAATTAAATTAAGGAGCCTCTGCACAGCAAAAGAAACTATCATCAGAGTGAACAGGCAACCTACAGAATGGGAGAAAATTTTTGCAATCTATCCATCTGACAAAGGGCTAATATCCAGAATCTACAAGGAACTTAAACAAATTTAAGAGAAAAAAACAACCCCATCAAAAAGTGGGCAAAGGATATGAACAGATACTTTTCAAAAGAAGACATTGACGTGGCCAAGAAACATATGAAAAAAAGCTCATCATCACTGGTCATTAGAGAAATGTAATACAAATTAAAACCCCAATGACACACCATGTCACGACCGTTAGAATGGCAATCATTAAAAAGTCAGGAAACAACAGATGCTGGAGAGGATGTGGAGAAATAAGAATGCTTTTACACTGTTGGTGGGAGTGTAAATTAGTTCAACCACAGGGGAAGACTGTGTGGCAATTCCTCAAGAATCTAGAACTAGAAATACCATTTGATCCAGCAATCCTATTACTGGGTATATACCCAAAGGATTATAAATCATTCTACTATAAAGACACATGCACACGTATGTTTACTGCGGCACTCTTCATGGTAGCAAAGACTTAGAACCAACCCAAATGTCCATCAATGATAGACTGGATAAAGAAAATGTGGCAGATATACACAATGGAATACTATGCAGTCATAAAAAAGAATGAGTTCATGTCCTTTGTAGGGACATGGAAGAAGCTGGAAACCATCATTCTCAGCAAGCTAACACAGGAACAGAAAACCAAATAGTGCATGTTCTCACTCATAAGTGGGAGTTGAACAATGAGAACATATGGGCACAGGGAAGGGAACATCACACACTGGGGGCTGTTGGGGGGTGGGGGACAAGGGGAGGGATAGCATTAGGAGAAACAGCTAATGTAGATGACAGGTTGATGGGTGCAGCAAACCACCCTATGTTACCTATGTAACAAATCTGCACGTTCTGAACATGTATCCCAGAGCTTAAAGTATAATTTAAAAAAAAAGAAAGAAAATCAGAATTGTCCAGTAAGTTGTTCATGGATACAAAGCTAGCAAGAGATGGAGTTAGGATTCCAACCAAGGCTATTTGACTCTAATGCCTGCACTATTTCTACTACACCTACAAAAAGGAAGGGACTTCACATATGTACAATATATATCATACCATTTCTCATCTTTGTGTGAAGCTGATGAATGAGACCAATCTTGACCTACAGAGTCTCTGCTGCTGTTAAAGATCCCTGGAGAAGGTAACTTAGTGATGGTCCTTAAGTAAATCATTCCAGTGTGTAACAATCTTCACCACAAGAAAATAATTCTTTATGAAAGGCCTGACTCCTTTATGATAAAGTTTGACCACATTCTTCTTCTTTAGTCTACATTGAAGCTACAATTAATAACTATAGTCTATATGATTTAAAGAAAAAGGTGAGACTTGTCTATTCACCTCCTTAGCCCACTTTTCGATGTGATTTTTTTCTTGCTAATTTGTTTGTGCTCATTGTAGATTCTGGATATTAGTCCTTTGCCAGATATATAAATTGTGAAGATTTTCTCCCGCTCTGTGGGTTGACAATTCTCAAAGGAGATATACAAATTACCAACAAACACATGAAAAAATGGTCAACGTCACTAATAATCAGGGAAATGCAAATCAAAATCACAGTGCAATGCCACCTTACTCCTGCGCAAATGGCTATAATAATAATAAAAAAAAAGAAATAGATGTTGGTGTGGATGGGGTAGAAAGGGAATGCTCCTATACTGCCGGTGGGAGTATAAACTAGTACAACCACTATGGAAAATGGTGTGGAGATTCCTTAAAGAACTAAAAGTAGAAGGACTATTTAATCCAACAATCCCACTACGGGGTATCTGCCCACAGGAAAAGATGTCATTATACAAAAAACATACTTGCACATGCATGTTTAAGGCACCACAATTTGCTATCGCAGAAATGTGGAACCAATCCAAATGGCCATCAATCAACAAGTGGATAAAGAAATTGATATATATATATCATATATTGTATATATTGTATTTATATATCATATATTGTAGATATATAACATATATATTGTGTGTATGTATATACATGTGATGGAATAGTACTCAGCCATAAAAAGGAATGAATTAATGGCATTTGCAGCAACCTGGATGGGATTGGAGACTATTATTCTAAGTGAAGTAACTCAGGAATGGAAAACCAAATATCGTATGCTCTCACTCATAAGTGGGAGCTAAGCTATGAGGATGCAAAGGCATAAGAATGATACAATGAACTTTGGGACTCAGGGGGAAAGGCTGGGAAGGCAGTGGGGGATAAAAGACTACACATTGGGTACAGTGTACACTGCTTGGACGATGCATCAAAATCTCACAAATCATCACTTAATAACTTACTCATGTAACCAAATACCATTTGTTCCCCAAAAACCTATGGAAATAAAAAAGAAATAGATACATAATAAATCTTTAAACTTGAAAAAAAGAAAAATGTGAGGTGGGCTCTGAAAACTGGTGAAAGCTCACTCTGCTTCCAAGTTGGCACCTTGCTGCTGTGTCCTCACATGGCAAAAGGTGAAAGGACAAAAAGGCCTAGCTAGTTCCCTTGAGCCCTTTTGTAAGGGTGCTAATCCCATTCATGAGGACAGAATGCTTGTGACTCAAACATCTTCTAAAGGCTCTACCTCTTAAAACTATCAAACTGGGTCTTGGGTTCCAACATATGAATTTTGATGGGGAGGAAAACATACAGTCAAACTATAGCACTATCCATTCATTGATAGACATTTAGATTGCTTCCATATCTTGGCTATTGTGAATAATGCTGCAATGAACATGGGAGTGCAGATATCGCTACTAGATCCTGATTTCATTTTCTCTGGATAAATACCCAGAAATGAGATTGCTAGGTAATATTGTAATTCTATTTTTTTTTTTTTTTGAGAAACCTCCATACTGTTTTCCTTAATGGCTGCACCAATTTAGATTCCCATTAACAGTGAACAAGGGTCATATTTTCTCCAGATCCTGTCCAACACTTGTTTTCTTTTTTTTTTTTTAATAATAGCCACCCTAACAGGTGTGATTTGATACCTCAGTGTGGTTTTCATTTGCATTTCCCTGATGATTACTGATGTTGAGGACCTTTTCTTATGCTTCCTGGCTATTTGTATGTCCCCTTTGGAAAAATCTCTATTTTGGTCCTTTGCCATTTTGTTTTGGTAATCGAGTTATTTGTTTTTCTGTTACTGAGTTGTAGTAGTTCCTTATATAGTTTAGATGTTAGCTCCTTATTAGAGGTATGTTTGCAAATATTTTCTCCCCTTCCATAGATTGCTTTTTTATTTTGTTGATTGTTTCCTTTGCTACACAAAAGCTTTTCAGTTTGATGTATTCCCATGTACCTATCTTTGCTTTCGTTGCCTGTGCTTTTGGCATCATATCCCAAAAGTCATTGCCAAGACCAATGTCAAGGAGCATTTTCTCTATCTTTCCTTCCGGTAGTTTTTCATTTTCAGGTCTTACGTTTAAGTCTTTAATCTATTTTGAATTGATATTTTTATATAGTATAAGGGTCAAATTTCATTCTTCTGCACTATTCACTGAAGAGACTTTCTTTTCCTCATTGTATGTTGTTGGCATCTTTGTCAAAAATTAATTGACTACATATGATGGATTTATTTCTGGGCTCTGTATTCTGCTTTGTTGGCCTATGTGTCTGCTTTTATGCTAGCATCATACTGGTTATACTGTGGCTTTTGATTTTTAGCTTCATATCACTGTGATCAAAAAAGATACTTGATATGATTTTAATCTTCCTATACTTCTTAAAATTTGTTTTGTGGCCTAACATATGATCTAACTGGAGGATATTTTGTGTGTGCTTGAGAATGATGTGCTGCTGAACAGAATATTCCATATGTGACTCTTAGGTCCACTGGGTCTAGAGTGTAGTTTAAGATTGATGTTTCCTTATTGATTTTCTGTCTAGATGATCTGTTCATTGCTGAGAGTAGGGCATTGAAGTCCCCTACTATTATTGTATTGCAGTCTGCCTCTCCCTTCAGATCTATTAATATTTGCCCTATATTTGTAGGTGCTCCAATTTTGGGTACATATATATTTACAATTGTTATGTCCTCTTAATGAACTGACACCTTTATCATTACATAATTATCATCTTTCTTTTACAGTTTTAAAGTTTGTCTTGTCTGATATAAGTACAGATACGCTTGCTCTCTTTTGGTTTCCATTTAAATAGAATATCTTTTTTTATACCATTGCTTTCAATCTATATGTGTCCTTAAAGGTGAAGTAAGTCTCTTGTAGGTGGTATATAGTTGAGTCTTTCTCTTTTAATCCATTCAGTCACTCTGTCTTTTGATTGGATAATTTAATCCATTTACATTAAAGGTAATTATTGATAGGTAAGACCTTATTATTGCTCTTTTATTAACTGTTTTTTAGTTGTTTTGTAAATCCTTTGCTATAGTTATTTTTAATAATTTTGTCTTTGAACTTTCATAATAAATTTAAAAATGATTATGCACCACCATTATAGTATTAGAATAATAACTATTGGTCAAATTCTGGATTTGACTATATTCTTATCTTTACTAATGAGTTTTATGCTCTCATGTTTGGCTAAGAAGCATCCTTTCATTTCTGCTTGAATAACTCTCTGAATCATTTCTTATAATCGAGGTTTAGGCGATGAACTTGCTCAGCTTCTGTTTGTCTGAGAAAGTCTATATCTCTCCTTCATTTCTGAAGGAAAGACTTTCTGGGTAAAGTATTCTTGGATGCCATTTTTTTCTCTTTCTGCTGGAACCAGCTGGTGCTAGAGTGGGCCTGGAGCCTAGGTCTGTGGGGAAGTCAGATATCCACTTCACTCTCTTTTCCTTACAGGAGAGCTCTGAACAGAGGAGATCTCTCTAGTCCTCACACCATTCTGGTTTGGAAAATGATTCAGGTAGAGTGAAACTGCCCTTCCAGCCCTTTACTGTGCCTTTTCCCATTCTGTACTCCACTAGTGTGGTGTAACCTTTCACCTGGAATCCAGAGCTCAGGGAAGTATTTTTGTGTGTGTGGATGGTTTTTTTTATCAGTCTTTCTGTGACTGGACAAGGGGTGTAATCTCCTATTCTGCCATCTTGCTGATGTTACTCTTCTTAGTCTCAACAGGTATTTGTTAAATAAGTAAATGAATAAGTGAATCTGTGTACAGAGTACTATCAAATACATTCTTGCTATTTGATAAATTCGTGCACATTTATTTCCCTTCCAAAATTCATGTTGAAACTAATCCTCAATGTAACAGTATTAAGAGGCAGTGATTCGGAAGTGATTAGGCCATGAGGACTCTATCACGAATAGAATAATACCTTATAAAAGGATTTGAGGGGATGTTTTCCCCTTCTGTCTCTTCTGCCACGTGAGGACACAATGTTTTTTCCTTTCCAGAGGACCCAGCAACAAGGCAATATCTTTGAAGCAGAGACCAGGCCCTTACTGGACACCAAACCGGCCGGTGCTTGGACTTCCAGCTTCCAGAACTATGAGAAATCTATAACTGTGTATTTATAGATTACTCAGTCCCAAGTATTTTTTTATACCAGCACAAACAGATTAAACAATCCTCAAACTGACTTTGAGTTGGAAAAAGCATATATTATTAATATCAATCTACATTGCAGGTGAGGAACAATCTGGAATTTTATGTTACTTGCCCAAAATATCGTAACAATTAAGCTAATAAGTGACAGGAATGGAGGGCATATTTAGACTTTCAGACTCCAAGCCCAATGTTTCTTCTATTCAACAGTTTAGGAATCCCAGACACCCATATTTTTCTTTAACTCTAAAACAGTGGCATATAACTACTGTGTGAAAGTATTAAGCAATTGTTGCAATACTACGTATAATACCACTATTGACAAGTATTTATTCTGGTCTATAAAGCTCTCATACTTTTGTTTAATCACCACTATCTCAGTGAGTCTACTATTGCCTCCATTTTATAGATGAGAAAACCAAGAAGGGTTAATAACTTGCTCCAAGTCATACAGTTAATAAGGATGTGGCTGGCCGGACGCGGTGGCTCACGTCTGTAATCCCAACACTTTGGGAAGCCGAGGCAGGGGAATCACAAGGTCAGGAGATCAAGACCATCCTGGCTAACACGGTGAAACCCCGTCTCTACTAAAAATACAAAAAATTAACAAGGCGTGGTGGCGGGCACCTGTAGTCCCAGCTACTCAGGAGGCTGAGGCAGGAGAATGGCGTGAACCTGGGAGACGGAGGTTGCAGTGAGCCGAGACTGTGCCACTGCGCTCCAGCCTGGGCGACAAAGCGAGACTCTGTCTCGAAAAAAAAAAAACAACAAAACCAAGGATGTGGCAGGGCCCAAACTCAATCTCAAATCTGAGGGCTAGTTCAGCTAGTGCTTTTTCTTGCACATGATCACAAAGCCTTCTCCCATTTCAAAGTGTTGTTACAATGATCTATTTCTTTGTTCCCCTCAAAACTAGGAATGATCATTTTACAAAAAACGCACTCGCACAAAATCTGGCCTTATTGGGTTTCTCTGCAGTTATTGGTAGTACACAATGTCAACTTCATTTAGTTTGGCTATTATGTAAAAATACTGATACAACTTTTAGTAATTTAGCACAGAGGCCTATACACTCAGATGTTAATCTTTTTGAGAAGCATTTTGCTTCTTGCTCCCTCCCAGAAACATTTTTTCTCAACCACTGTGTAGGTTAAGTGTCAAAATCCCCTGAAGGTTGGGTAGAGATGGTTCCTAGAATCCTGCTGGGTGGTCTGCTGGGTCTTAATGGTACCACTTCCATTATAAAAGGGAACTTAGATCACTATAGCTAACATTTATTGAACACTTATTATATCAGCTATCACACACCACGTAACAAGCCAATGTGATGAGTTCTATTGTTATCTTGAGTTCACAGCTGAAGAAACTGCAGCATGAAATAAGGGAGTAAATTCCCCAAAGTCATACAACTAGGCTGCTGGAACCTGAACTTAACTGCTACACTAGGCTGTCTCCAAACACAACACTTCTCATGCTGGGTGTCATATCCCTGATGACACTGTAAATATCCAATGGCTTGAAGAAGTAAAATGTCAGCTAACAAGAGTAGATTGAAGAGTTAAGTTAAAATTCAAGGACAGATTTTTCAGTCTGCAATAGACACAGAGATGTTCGAGACTGGTGTCAGAGAGAGACAGAGGCTGCTTGTTAGGATCTCCAAAAACGTATTATGATGGCGCAATATTTTATAAACGTGTGGTCTTGGTCACAGGGTGACCTGGTTTAAAAGTGGTAAATATGTCAGCAAATTTCATTAGCACAGGAAAAACAGATCCAGGCGAACAACTCTTGGTAGTTCGTCATCTAATTTTCTCTGCTTTGTTTTGACTTCATAGGATAAAATTTGCTACATTTCTCTTTCCAACCATCACTTAGTGGCTTTTAGGTACTGTTATTAAAATTTCATAATTTTAATAGCCAAGTATTAAAAAGAAATTTCTAATCATTTTCAAATTCTTAACTTAGGGGACTTTTAGTGATTGAGAGTCCTTAATATTTCAAGACCCTCAGCTTGTTGTGATTCCAACATGGGTAACTGGAGACATTGTTCTTTTAATTTAGGTTCAGTGAAAGATTTTTAACTAATGCACTAATCTATGTTTGAAAGTGTTTTTACCAAGTATATTTTAGCAAGATATTATCTGATGACATTAATAGCTATTATTTATTTTTTAAAGGAGTTATATGGTCAAGTATATTTGGAAAATACTGGTTTAGAAGAAAATTAAATAGATTCCTTTTCTGTAGCCTTTAAATAATTGAACGTTCACTATGACTTTCCAAGAAGGAGGCTTGACAGGCATCACTTACTAAGTTTTTTTGACTATGAGGCCTACTTTTCTTGAGTGCATCTTTTAGGACCAACAATCCTTGGATCTCTCTTTGGGAAATGTTACTTCCTTATATTTCATTATAGGGAAATTACACGTTTTCAAGATTATATTATTATTGACTTTACAGTGGATTTAAATAATTTTATTGTAATAGAACTCCCAGGAAATCCAAGTCACTAATATGTGGTATGTGGTTAATCTTCAATAAACATACTATACAAAAAGGATTTAGTTTGTTGGTTCGAAAGACTCAAAAAAATCAATAGCTTCATATGCCAGTGCTGTTTTGTTGCAATATTGCATAAAACCACAAGATGGCAATAGTACTTATCAAATTAAAGAGAGGCCTGTGGTTCTGCTATTGAAACCAAAGGTTAGAGCGCCTTGCAGGGCACACTTTGAAGTTCCCAGGCATTTTCTGGCAGCATATGCTTTGTTGTTATTATCTGGACCATTACTTTCATTGACATACTTTTTATGACGATAAATGAATTGAAAACAAGTCAAAAAGTACGAAAGATGAATCTAGAAAGTATTCGCCCTACAGTAAAATTCAGATTTTGTTATTAATGTCATATTCAAGAACAACCTTTCACATATTCATTTTGTCAGGTAGCCTTAACTTTAGAATTTGTTTATAAAAACATTATTTTGTAATTATAAATTCCATGGTCTAAAAGTTCTAGACTATCCTAGACCTAGGAAATATCAATTTTTTCTAAATGCTGGAATAAAATTCCTTTAAAAAGAGGAATTGGACGGTTTCTATAATGTTTACTCATGTAGCAAAGGAGTACATGTTCTTAATGCTATATTTATTTATTTTTTACAAGGCAGGATACTGATGGGCACTTCAACATTCTGTGTAATATTTAAAGCCTTTTATGTTATTTAAGACAACACAACTAAACGTGGTCTGAATGTGTCCATTTTTATGTAGCAATAAACACAGCATACACAAGATGGCAGCCTATCTTCCCTTAAACTAGTATTAAAGATATTTAAAATGTAAATAGCTGTCTATTAATGATACTCTTGCTTTTCATTCTCAGAATAAATAAGCCTCCTGGTTAACAAGTTTAAATCAGTCTCATTCCAAACCTAGCACTTAATGAAACAGAAACAGCTACTCACGTTTTGGGAAATCTACAACTACTCAATAATGCTAAGTCTTCATCGAAAACAATGCCAAATTGCAACTCAGTGTCACAAGAAGAAGGAGGAGGAGGAATAAGAAAAAAGACAAAAGAAAAAAAGCAGTGAACACATATATTGTGGGGACAGTTAAAATTTAAGCTGGATCTTTCTGAAGATAACTGATCTTCCTACAAATATTTAAAGCTAGCTACCTTTGCTGTCCAATTGTAACAGAGGGTATCCTTGTAGAATAAGGTCCTTCACATTTGAGAGGTTGTAAAAATAGTGACATTCAAAACATCAGTGATTTAAAAATCTTCAAAAAGGGTACCTTATGGATGTGTTAAAATAATTTCCATAAGCTATTCTATTCCCTCATTTTTTGCTGGAGACTTGTTATGCCCTAGGATGGAAATATTTCATAATGCTAAATAACTAAATATATTAAAATTTAAATGCAAGAGGTTTATAATCACAGGTGGCTTCATATAATAAAATAAAAGTAAACCAACATTTTTTCCATAATGAACATGAATATTCCAATGAATTTAAAATTTCTGGTAAGTTACCATGATATAGCACATAGATTAATTTAAAATAATAGTATGGTAAAGTGTAGCATAGGATGGCACTAGGTATATTTATTTCCTGAAGAGTAGTAGAAGGCAGTTCAGGTAACCTTTAGGCTTAGTTTTCTCTCCTAAATGCAGAGTTGAAGACATGCAAGACGAAATTATTCATGTTGTATCCCAAATATAACATGAATAATTTGGGATACATATGTATGGATGTATTTGGGATATACTTATTCATACAACTTATTCAAATTTGGGATATATATGTATGGATGTATTTGGGATATACTTATTCATATAACTTATTCAAATTCCCTTTCATATCTGACATAAACAGCAGGTGGTATCTAAATGCAATTTTCTGATAACTTCTGGAAGTTTAGGTAAACGAAAATATGGATTGCTTTAATTTTGAATGTAAGTTGTATATTACTTGGTGACATTGAGCAACTACAACAACTATCCTAGATGTCATTTTTTCCAAAGGGCCTTACTCCTGTCTCCTCCAGGAATTCGCTCTATGACTGGTAATTGACTCAGTGACTCAGTAGATACAATATATAGTACTATTAATTTTTTTTACCGAAAGGAAACTATTTTTCCTGAGAATTCTGCTGAAATATGCTACCATGTTTATATAGCCATCCTAACAAAAAATCACATCTAAAAAATTAAACGTTTTTTAAAAGAACTTTAACTTTCCTATTTAAAAAATCAGAATATTTTAAAAAATAGACCCTAAAGTATTACGCCTCTTCAATCCTTTTTTTTTTTCTTGGCTATCCCAATACTTTTCTGAAATTGTTTCCTTGAGTGTCACCAATAACTTTTAAAAATTCATCAATTTCAACGGGCTTTTCTTCGTTTTCAGCCCTTTTCATCTGTGGGTCACACTGGGTATTATTAATTGCAATGATTCTGGGATTTTCTTCTTATTTGGATTCTGCAGTCCCAGTACTCCTATAGCCAAAGAGTTAGTTGTGTCTATTGTCTACATGTCTACAAGAACTATGATCTTAGAAAAGTCACTTAGGCTCTGTTGTATACAGTTTTGTATCCTTAAAATGAGGGGATTTCCCAAATTTCTCTGAGGGTCTCTGATAAGACCTCTCTTGCATGTCTTTGACAGAGAATAAGCCATTCCACATAAATGAATTTTCTAGGAAACTAAAAATTACCACGTAGAACACCAAAACCTGTTTCATTAATATACTTAAAGGAATTATTTCTAAAATTTATTAAATTTTTATCCCTTTTAGGTAAACAATGAATGCAATTTAAAAAAAAATGGGGCAGAGCATCATTTGTTAAGTGTGTCTAGGAAATTATCATCAAGGTTCTAGCAAGATAAAGTTAAATATGTAGAAAACTAGTGAAACTTGAGTAGAAGTGTTTTAATTTCTGAATTCCCAAACTAATTATTGCTAAAGGTCAATAATCAGACAGACATTTCCCACTAGTGGATGCTTCTATAATCTGTTTATTCTATATATGCACTTCTTTTGCTTTATACCTTTCAATTCAGAGTTGTTATAAATTCAATAATGGTATTATTTCCATTGCTAAATATGCCAAGGAACAAAATGTAGTTCTTAAAATAAAACAAGTTAAAAGTGATGTGAGGTCGAAGGAGACTTGAGTTCCAAAATCACCACACAGAGAGCCATCTGCCAATCAGAAGCACCTGCCTTGGACTCTTATGTAGGTTAAAAATAAACTTCTATTACATTTGAGCCATTAAATATTTTGAGGTCCATTTATAATCACAGTTCATTCTACTCTAACAAATTCCTAAGTCCTGTGGATTCTAATTATTAAATTTCCATTTGCAACAAACCTAGCCCACCAGTTCAGCCTAGCCCACCTGACATCTGTTCTTAAGATCTTTGTTCAATTGGTAAAACATCTCTTGAAATGATCTCTGCCACCATTGCCCCATCATTCCTTATCTAGATTATTTAGAGCCTTCTGCGTGGTCTCTCTGCCTTCCTTCAAACCCATCCTCTAAGTCCTAATGGAATTCTCTCCATCATATACAAATCAGGCCATTTTATTCCTCTTGGACTACATTTCAGTCCATATTCTGCACCCACAAGCACTGCTGTGGGGAACCCAGGCCCCAGAACTCTGGCTCAGCATCAGTATTCAAAGCTTCTCCTTGTTCAGGAGATTTTGCACAAACAGGAGTAAATTTTTATCATCTTACACTCTTACCATGGAGACTATGGATCCTAATTTGTCTTCTGTGGCAGGTTGAACCCTTAACAGCCATTTTCCCCCTTTCCCTTCACTATCACTGAATAGAGTCTCTGTGAGTTTTAGCGGAATGCCTGGTCCTCCCTTCAGAGAATATCTTATTCTCCAAGCAACAGGTGTGGCCATGTACCCATGTCCTTCCTGGTAGGATGTGAGAATAAGTGACCTATGCAACTTCTGGGTCTTATGGTGAAAATGGAGCAGTTGCTTTAGACAAGAGATGGAAACCACACAGTGATGAGAGCAGAACCATATCATCAGCTCTAGATCTTTCTGGGGTTCATGTGGAAGAAAATATAATTTTAAAAATTATCAGAAAAGTTGGGTCTCTTGTTACCAGAAGCTTAGTTTGCATCCTAAATCATTCTAATTAAGAAACAACTTTTCAAATAGATTTTCCTTCTAGAAAAGCATGTTTCTTAATTAGAATGATTCATATGACTTCACAGAGCCAATCAATTTTGTGTGAGTCCCATTCAATTCAGTTTAATAAGACTATGGGGGATGAACCAGCTTTTCCCATAGCCTGGCCATTCTTAGGCAAGGGGGTTTCTCATTTACAGAACTGAAAGGCAAAGTCCACTAAATGAACAAAAAAAAAACCACTGGGTTGAGGAGGGAGAGAACTAACTTTCTTGAGTATCTACTGTGTGCCTTGTGCTTTTAATACAATATTTTATTTAGTTATAACTCTAGCCCTGTGAGTTGGGTTAAACTAGCACAAAGGAGGCATCTAATAAATGTTTGTCAAGCAAATGAATAAATTAGTATTCTCAGTATTTTACAGATGAGTAAACTGGTTCAGAAAGATTAGGCTGCTTGACCTGGTTACCTAACTTGTAAGCAGTGGCAGCTCTAGAATCCATTACAAGAGCTATTTGATTCTAGATTCCAAATTTACTTCATTACACTGTGATGCCTAACCATCGTCATCTTTTCCGATCAACCGACTTGTCCCGTCTACCTCAAACTATTATTTTTGGGCTCAGCCCTTCCATAATCTATCTCCTGGTTCCCCCATGAGAGACAAGATTGTATACTAGGGAAGCCATGGATCTCAATCAATTTGGCAATTATTAATTCTGTGCCATTAGCATAACAGAGTATTGGTTACACCCACTCAGTGAATTTGACGGGGAAGATGAGTTATTTAGTGTCTTTTGTCTCCATTAGACCAAAAATAGTATGAAGACAGAGACCATTTTTGCATCCCAGAACCTGCCACAAAGCAGGTACTCAAGTGCTCAATAAATATTTGTTGGCTTGTATGAATGACATACATTACTGTTAATATATTACCTTTGCTAAGCTAGGCACTTATTCAGAAGCCTAAAACTGGGTGTCTTTCTGCAACAAATAAAATTGCTTAATGGTGCTCTATAGAAAAATATAATTAAAAGGTATGAGATTGCTTAGTATATTTCTGAGGGGGATGAAAAGGCTCATGACCACTCCATCTGTAATAGAGATGGTTTAGTGTGGTACAGGGTAGTTCACAGTTCGACCTCCAAGTTAGAAAGCCTGGGTTCCAATCTCTGCTCCTGCACTTACAAGCTGTGTGGACTTGCACAAGTAGAAGATGCACATAGATAGAAATGGAGACGATTATAGAACCTCCTTAAGGTCATTGTGAGGGTTTAATTACATAATACATATCAAGTACTTAGCACAGTTCCTCCCACAAAATAAACATTCAATAACTATTAGCAATTTTTCTTCATCTTACTCAACATGAAGACAAAGTAATATAATTACTTAACAATCTGAAAACTTGACTCAATATAATTAAATTTAAATAAAGAACTACAAACATATTAAAATGGTTATCAAATCTCTGATTTCATATGTGGAATGATTTATTTCAATTGAGATAACAGTTACTAATTATCTATTTTTCCTAATCATTTAGGAATACATAAATAGAACAAGCACAGTGTCTCACACTTGTAATCCAATGCTTTGGGAGGCCACGGTGGGAGAATTTCTTCAGGTCAGGAGTTTGAGACCAGCCTGGGCAACAACAGTAAAACCCTGTATCTACAAAATTTTTTTAAAAAATTAGCTGGGCATGGTGGTATGCCTGTAGTCCCAGTTACTTGGGACACTGAGACAGGAGGACTGTTTGAGTCTAGGAGTTGGTGGCTGCAGTGAGCTCTCATTGTGCCACTGTACTCCAGCCTGGGCAACAGAGCAAGACCCTATCCCTGAAAAATAATAATACATAAGTATACAGCAAAAAGTAGTAATTATTATTTTCAGAGGATTCATTGGCTTTGTTAAGTCAAGAGAAAAAGCCTATAATTAATTACAAATATTATATAAATAAACCTAAGTATCAAAAAAGTGCCATTAAAATAACCAGATCCTATAGAATATATGCATGAAAAAAATGATTATGACCCTAAAAAAAACCAAAAAAATCTCCTTATCAGCTAAAACCATAAGTAATAACAATACAAATAGTTGCACGACTTTTGTAGATTAATTACTATCATTAACTGGAATAATTTCAAGCAATTATATTACAATGTGATTAAAATACATCACAAATGACCATGGTAATGAAATAATACATTTCTTAGACTATTCATATATTCACTTTGAGAAAAAAGGCAAGCCAATGGTCTTCTATTTGTCTCCATGCTTCTAGTCTTCCTTATTTCAATTCATTCTCCAAAATCTTACGATTGTTTTTCTGTTATTCCCTTGCTTTTAATTCTTCATTTCTTTCTCAGTGATTTTAGAATGGATCAGGGAAGGTGTCCAAGCAGCAGTGAAGCTTGAATAAATACTGAAAGAAGACTGGCCATGGTGGGGTAGGACACTCAAGACAAAGGGAAAGGGGTGAAGAGGGGCACAGCATGTGTTATGGACTGAATGTTTATACCCCCGCAACTCCCTGCCAAATTCGTAGGCTGAAACTCTAGTCTTCAATGTGATGGTATTTGGAAGTAAAGACTTCAGGAGGCGATTAGGTTTGGATAAGGTCATGAGGATGGTGCCCTCCTGATGGGATTAGTGCCCTTATAAGACAAAGAAGAGACACGGGAGCTCTCTCTTTCTCCATGCACTGAGGAAAGGCCTTCTGAGCACACAGCAGGAAGGTGGCTGTCTACAAGCCAGGAGGCAGGTCCTCACCAGGAACCCAATCTGCTGGCACCTTGATCTTAGACTTCCCAGGCTTTAGAACTGTGAGAAATAAATGTCTGTTGTTTAAGCCACCCAGTCTACAGTATTTCGTTATAACAGCCCAAGCAAAGATGGCATATCATACAAAATTTTCTTTGTTAATTTCTGCAGACTCATCTCTCAACAGACATCCCATCTATAGAATATTTGCACCATCTCAAAGTCACAGCCTCTCTCCAATAACTGTGCCTCTCTTCACCCCTTTCCCTCTCTCTTGAGTGTCCTACTCCACCATGGCCAGTCTTCTTTTAGTATTTATTCAAGCTTCACTGCTGCTTGGACGCCTTCCCTGATCTACTCATGGACATTATTAGGCCTTTTTCTTACACTCCCAAACATTCTTTGCCATAGCACTTGTCACATTGAGGCCTTGCTGTTTATTTCTGATCCCTGATGTCTAGCACAACTCCTGGGTCATCGAGAAATCTTTGTTGACTGAAAACACATGTATAACTGAAGGAAGGAATATGTATCATCGCATAATAACAACACAACCTAATGAGGTAACCAGTACTTAAGTTGCACACCCTTTATGTCCCACTCCCTTATTCCCTACTCTTATCCACTATGATACTAAGTACTTAATCTGAAATATGTAAAGCTTAATATCACAAGAGTACTGTGCTACCACTTCTACAACAGTAAGCATTTGCCATTTCTACTTCCCCAAGCTATGGTGATTGGCATTCACTGTAATTCCTAAAAATGGTCAGCCTGTCCTCGCTTTAGCCAACATGGCAAAACCCTGTCTCTACTAAAAATACAAAAATTATCCAGGTGTAGTGGCGGGCACCTGTAATCCCAGCTACTAGGGAGGCTGAGGCAGGAGAATTGCTTGAATCAGGGAGGTGGAGGTTGCAGTGACCAAGATCACGCCAATGCACTCCATTCTGGGCTTCACAGCAAGACTCCATCTCAAAAAATAAATATATAAATAAATAATAAAAGTACTTTTAGACAATCTAATTTTAGTAGCAATCTTCTAAGAGTTTTTTATTTGATTGATTGATTGATTGATTTCAATTTCTTCAGAGCAACCAACTAGAAACCAGACCAGAATAAAGGTGTTTGGATATACTTGTGACATATCTCTCAATATCTAATAAATAGATATAGCAAACATACAGTAAAAACATTCTTATTTTTTCCACAAGATATTTAGAAGGAAGGTTTTTCTTATGTGTATAGAGAAGTTATGGTTGAGATTGTTACCCCTCACTGATGTGTGTTTCCTCTTCTTCCTGGCCATGTAGCACAACTGTATTTTCTCTAACAAACTAAAAAGAGAAGAAAATTACCTCATAATAAAGGCCAGATGTGAAAATCCCATAGCTAATATCATACTCAATGGTGAGAAACTGAAAGACTTTTTTCTAAGATAAGGAACACGATGCCCACTCTCACCACTTCCATTCAACATAGGACTAGAAGTCCTATCCAGAGGAATTGGACAAGAAAAGGAAATAAAAGCTATCCAAATCTGAAAAGGAGAAGTAAAATTGGCCCTGTTTGCAGATGATGTCATCTTACACATAAAAAACAGAAGATTCCACAACAAACTGTTAGAATAAATAAGCAAGTCAAGTAACATTGCAGGATACAAAATCAACATACAAAATCAATTGCATTTTTATACACTAACAATGAACTATCTGAAAAGGAAATGAAGAAAAAGAATTGTGTCTACATTATCCCTCAAAATAATAAAATACTTAGAAATAAGCTCAACTAAGAAGGTAAAAGACTTGTACACTGAAAACTATAAAATGTTAATGAAAGAAATTAAAGAAGACACTAATAAATGAAAAGTCATCTTGTGTTCATGAATTGAAAAATGGAATATTGTTAAAATGTACATACTACCCAAAGCAATCTATAGATTCAATGAAATCTCTATCAAATTCCAATGATATTTTTTACAGAAATAGAAAAAAAAAACCCTAAAATTCATATGGAACCACAGATGACCCCGAATAGTCAAAAAAAATCTTGAGAAAGAAAAACAAAGCTGGAGGCATCATACTTCCTGATTCAAAATATATTACAAAGCTACAGTAATTAAAACAGCATGGTACTGTGAAAAAGACAGACATATAGTCCAAGGAACAGAATGAAAATCAATCCATGCCTGTATGGTAAACTGACCTTCAACAAGGGTGCCAGGAATACAAAATAGGGAAAGGATAGTCTTCAACGAATAGCTTTTGAAAACTGTATATTCACATGCAGAATAATGAAACTGGACTCTTATCTTACCCCATATACATAAATCAATACAAATGGATTAAAAACTTAAATATAAGTCATGAAACTATAAAACAGGGAAAAACCTTCATGACATTAGTTTTGTCAATGATTGCGTGAGTATGACACCAAAAGCACAGGAAACAAAAGTAAAACCAGGCAAATGGGACTAGAGGAAATATCTGCAAATCATATATCAGATAAGGGGTTAGTTTCCAATATATAAGGAATTTCTACAACACAATAGCAAAAAAACCTAATAATCTGATTTTAAAACTGGGCTAAGTCTGGAATAGACATTTCTCCAAAGAAGACATACAAATGGCCAACAGGTATATGAAAAGATGCTGTTACCAAACATCAGGGGAATGAAAATCAAAAATACAATGAGACATCACCTGACACCTGGTAGGAAAACTATCAACACGTGTTGGTGAGGATGTGAAGAAATCTGAACCCTTGTACACTGTTGGTGGGAATGCAAAATGGTGCAGTTACTGTGGAAAACAATATGGAGATTTCTAAAAAAAAATAAAAATAGAGCTACCATATGATTTAGCAATCTGACTTTTTAGTATTTATCTAAAAGAACTGAAATCAGGATCTTAAAGAGAAATAAGCACTCCCATATTCATTGCAACACTATTTACAATAACCAAGACATAGAAGCAACCTAAATGTTCATCAATGAATGCATGCATAAAAAGAAGATGTGGTATATATATATAATGGAATATTATTCAGACTGAAAAAAGAAGGAAATCCTGCAATATGTGACAACATGGATGAAACTTGAAGACATTATGCTATATACCAGCCACAGAAGGACAAATACTGCATGATTTCACTTACATCAGATATCTAAAATAGTCAAACTCATTGAATCAGAAAGTAGAATGGTGGATGCCAAGGGCTGGTAGTAGGGGTGGGGAATGGGGTGTTTCCAGTCAATGGGCATAAAGTCTCAATTACACAAGATGAATACGTTTTTGAGATCTGCTGTACAACATTGCTCCTATATTAATATTGTACTATATGCCTAAAAATGTGTTAAGAGTGTAGATCTCATGTTAAGTGTTCTTACCACAATAAAATAAATTTTTTTAAAAAACCAAGATCATTGGGTGTGATCATTGGCACACAGAAGCCTACTGCCTACTGAGTTTTTGAGAGAAAGAACTTAGCTGTTTGAGATCCCTGACATTACCCTAGTAGGAAGCAGGATATGAAAGATGTACAATCCCCAAGGAGAGCAAGCTCCTTCACACCCATTTCAGACATGGCCATAGAGGACAATGAATAAGAAATAGATCCCCAAATTAAGGGGCCAGTTGCCACGGAGAACAACAAACAAGAGGATTCTTCCCAGACAGAAAAGTTCTAATCAAACAATTTTCCTACTCTCCAGGTTAAGAGGCCTTCATCTGGCCTCTTTATGGACATGGGGATTTCAGAATTTATACTGACAAGTAACTTGTGCCCCCCATGATTTCTACCATTGTATGTTGGATGTGTATAGGGAGACTGTAGGCAGATTCTTAGTTCCGAGGGCTACAAGGAACCACATTCAGACCTGACAGAGAATATCCTTTTATTCAGAGATCCTGAACTTAGAGCTGTATACGGTGATCAGATGGGACTTTGACTGTTTCTCTTGGAGAAGAGTGAATGTCTTCTATATGCAGGAAGAGTGAAACATATTTGGTGACCAGAGGTAGAGTATAGCCAAGAATGCTACTGCTTGGCAATATGAGCTATAGCTTCCGGCCTCCTTTAAAATTAGGAGTGGTCAATTGGCTGCATTCTGGTCAACTGAATATAAATGCAAAAGGTAATGTGTGCCAATTTTAAGCCTGGCCTATAAAAATCTTCCCATGTGGGATTCTTACTCTACTCTGTCAACCACAGGCTTTGAGGACCAAAAGGGAGATAGTAACACTAGATAGAAAAAAAACACTAGGGGCCCGTGATGACTGTGTGGAGCAGAACTAGAGCCCCACCCTCCAACACGGACACATATTAAACCATAATAAGAGCAAGAAAAACAGCTTTTCTTAGGTTAAATCATTGATATATCGGGTTTATCTGTTTAGTTATATATCTTAACAAATACAAAATTTAAACCACAACAAATCATGATTATATTGTTTGGTGCTAATAATAAGGAAAATGTAAGATTTAAGGCCCTTAAAGAAAGGACTCCACTGACATTTAGTTTTAAAAAATACCTTAAAAATTCAACTTGTGAAATATCAAGTGATCAACAGTTTACTCCAATAATGATGCTTTATAAGAATTAGTACTAAACATATAGTTTTAGGAACTTTTAATAAAATTACCCTTACCATTTTGTTGGAATTTAGTGACATTTAAAACAGTACTCCCAGATATATTTTAGATAAATCATTTATAATCTTTTAATTGTTTTCCCCCTACTTTAACAACAGCAGCAAAGCAAAACAAAGTCATATTATGCAAATGATTCATCTTCCCACTTTCCAATGCCTTCCCGTCACAACTAAGTGATGAATGAATAATCTTATAGAAACAAAAAGTCTTAGCATTGGAAGAGACTTCGTCCAGTCTTTCATTAATACAAAAATTCTAGTTACAAACCCAGTAACATATGACACATGATCATATAGACGGAATGTAGAGGCAGCTTGAATGCTTCCAGCACAGCACTGGAATTCAATGAAATATTGAATTTCCTTTTGAAATTCAATATTTGTTGAAAACATATGTTATGTGATATAGTATATTTTGATTTTGGACAGGTATGTCATAAAATGTATGTTTAAAGAGCTAATCTTCCTCATCTGAATCTTTAGAGCTTTAAGGAAATGGCTAGTCCTTATTTCATAGACACCCTTTCCAAGCATGTGTAGTCCTAAAGACATTGTCACTGGCACGATTCTATATTTGAGGTCATTAAAAAAAAGATACAATAAGCTGATCTTCTTATCCATGTTCTTCAATGAGAGAAGTTTTAAAGGGTATGCTTCCACAGATGAGCAACTAAAAGTTTTTTTCGTTTTAAAATACAGGTTTAAAGGAAATGATTACAGTTGCCACCATCTCCTTGATTATTAATTAAAGGCTTTTCTTCAATTATCATATTATTCCATATAGTCAATGGTTATATAAGTTTTATAAGTAAAAAAGATAAGCAAAGCAAAATGTTAACACCTACCATGTAACTAAAATACTTGAGGAACAATGAAAAAAAAACCTTCACCCCTTATGCTAAAAACAGTTAATAAGTGTTTAATGTGACAAGTGACTTCAAAACTTGCAATTATCCTGCTAAAGCATGGCGTCACTGATAGAGACAAAGACGGCAGATATAGTATAGTGGTAGGTGGTGTGGGTCCCTGTTCTTATCTTCAACACAGTATTCCCTTCAACTCTCTGGCAGGGTGTGGGAAAAGTCCGAGGTTTCCACTGGTAAGTTTAATAAAAGATGTAGAACCAATCTAAGTTATACACTTCCCAAGGGACACACTCTTTTTATGCCTTCTGTCTTTTCTGTTAAACTTGCTACTTTTCCAATGCCATTAACATCCTATTACTTTGTTAAGGAAGACAGGGCTCTTGCATATTACAAGATTTGTGCTAGCTCTCAGAGTGAATAAATTCTCCTGCTAGTATGATTTTCCTTTCCTGAAATACACTCACACATTCAACAATATTTACTGGATGTCAACATGTGTTAGGTGCTGTGGATTCGGCAGTGCATAAAACAACATCTCTACTCTCAAGGAGTCTCCCTCCATTCTAGTGGAGGAAGACAGGCAGTGAGCCAATATATGAGCATACAGTGTGCTGTGTGGTGATCAGAGCATGGAACAACAGAGAGTTGGGTAAAGGCGTGGTGGTCAGAGGGTTTGCTATTTTGGATGAGGTGTGGAGAGAAAGCCTCACCTATAAGGACACATTTGAAAAGGGACTTGAAACAATGAAGGAGGTTTCCAGGCAGAGAAAGCAGCAAGTGCAGAGGCCCTGAAGAATTCTAACATTGCTGGAGCTAGTGGCCTAGAAAGTGAATGAAAGGAGATGAAATCAGAGCTGAGTGGGGCAACAGATCATGTGGGGCTCTGTAGGCCCTTAGAAAGGGTTTGGGGTTTTTCTTCAAGTAAATTAAAATAAGAGAGCAAATGAATAATCAGGAAAAAATGTTTTAAGGTTGCCTTGTCTGATGTCAAGTTATCGTTCTTTGATCAGGGAATATACCTATAACAGAAAAACAGAATGTACTTAAAGGGCCAATCATAAAAGGGCAAGTACATTGTTTTCTTAAGTTACTCAAAGTAATTACTAAGTTTTAAGACTAGCTGGCCTGAAATATTTTGACAAATTTAACCTAAAGGTTAATGATACATACAAAATGAGTATGGATTTTTACATTTCTTATCTTTATGTCTACACTATATCCTTTAAAATTTAGATTTTAAGTTATATACAATATAATCAAATATAAAATATTTCCAGAATCTATTCCGACTCCTGTCAATGTCAATGTTATCTTGTTTATCTTGGTACTGATACAATAACAACAAATGAAATTTGGCAACATTCAGCACTAAAATATATTTAAGGCAATGACACACTTATGGTGTATCGAGCACATAATGAGATAGCCATCATTTCAAGCTGGTGGTAAATGTCTTTCCTGCTGTGGTAGGCAGAATTCTAAAATGTACCCCCAAGATTTCTTATACTGACTGAATATGATGAAATTTCATTCATGTCTATGATTATGTTACTTATATGGCAAAAGGGATTTTGCTGATGTAATTAAGGTTACTAATAAGTTGACTTTGAGTTCATCAAAAGAAAGATGGTCACGCACCTGTAATCCCAGCACTTTGGGAGGCCAAGATGGGCAGATCACCTGAAGTCAGGAGTTCAAGACCAGCCTGGCCAACAGGGCAAAACTCTGTATTTACTAAAAATACAAAAATTAACTGGGCATGGTGGTGCATGCCTGTAGTCCCAGCTACTCAGGAGGCTGAGGTGGGAGAATTGCATGAACCTGGGAGGAAGAGGCTGCAGTGAGCCAAGATCGTGCCACTGTACTCTACCTGGGGGACAGAGCACACTTCATCAAAAAAAAAAAAAAAAAAAAAAAAAAAAAGATGGTCAGGGTGGACCTAATTTTATCCCATTTTCTTTAAGAGCAGAGAGTTTTCTCTACTTGATAGCATAAACAAAAATCAGATTTGAAGAATAAGGGGGATTTAACATGCTAC
The DNA here is from genome assembly GCF_000001405.40 of Homo sapiens. Taxonomy (NCBI): domain Eukaryota; kingdom Metazoa; phylum Chordata; class Mammalia; order Primates; family Hominidae; genus Homo; species Homo sapiens. The sequence goes on from NC_000005.10 coordinate 94,983,029, forward strand.
TGCTGTCTTGAAAATGAAGGGGGACACATGTAAAGTACCTTGGACTGTCCCCTAGAAGGTGAAAGCAACTCCTGGCTGGCAGACAGCAAGAAAACAGACTAATAGCCACGAGAAATTGAATTCTGCCAATACCAGGAATGTGCTTGGACAGGTACTCTGAGCTCCAGGTGAGAGCTCAGCCTAGCTGACACCTTAATTTTGGTCTTGTAATACTTAAGCAGAGAACCTAACTATACCATGCACAGATTTCTCACCTACCTAAACTGTGAGCTATTAAATGGTTGTTGTTTTAAGCTTGCGGAAATTAGTTACAAAGCAATAGAAAACTAATAACTTACCTTGAAGACTATATTTATGGTGTAGTTAGAGGAATAAAAAAGTAGCTGAAAGTCTTTTATTAGGTGTAACTAAGTTTTCTTTCTTATAAATGGTATCAGTGTATTGGCTAGAGGCCTAAGCTGCCATAACAAAGAGATCCAAAAAATATAGTGGCTTGGTCAGGCATGGTGGCTCATGCCTGTAATCCTAACACTTTGGGAGGCCAAGGCAAGATGATCTCTTGAGCTTAGAAGTTCACAACCAGCCTGGGTGACACACTGAGATCCTATCTTTATCTGTCTGTCTGTCTGTCTGTCTGTCAATCTATCTATCTATCTATCTATCTATCTATTGGTTTCAACTAGAAAGTAATTCATTTCTTTTTTGCAAAACCATACATGGCTGGGTATCCCAATGCAATAGAACAATTACATGCTTTTCAATTTATGCCTTCCGACCTATAGCCCTTGCAAGGATGGCTGATAAATGTCAGCCGAAGCTGAGCAACCTTGTGGCCATCTAAAACATGAGAGCTCTATGATGGAAGAAGGGGCAAATGGATATTTTTGGACAACTGGCAGTCTCTAACAATCCAGCAGTGCTCAGGACATTTTGTACTGCATTATGAATATTGAATTGCTCAAATTGTTATGACTTTATTCCATGGAAGTGAGTCAAATATCTGCTTCATCAGCACTCCCCCAGATTAGTCCTAAATCTATTTTTAGACTCTAGATCTAGAGCAAAAATGAGTAATTCCTCTTCTATGAAGCAATCTTCTAAATATTTGAATCAGATGTCAGTATCCTCCATAAGTTTCCAGACTTATTACTCTCCCATCTGTCTCCCATTCTTCTCTATTAACCATCCCTCACTACCTTAAATGCTCTGGACTAATTTTTGCTTGTTAAGACATTTTTAAAAATATAGCCATTATCAAGAACACACTCCTCAGTGAAAGGCTCTTGGCTAGGAATTTGAGTTGGCAAAGAAAACAAAGGAGTATTTAAGGTAAAGAACTGAATCAGCTTCTGTTTGCAGGAACAAATGAACATGGTATACGTTTAGGAAATCTATGAAAACCACACTGGCTGAAGCGGAAAATTTGATTTAGGGATTAATGAGAGATAAAACTATTCAATAGCGCATATGAACTCAGTTAACAGAGAGTCTTGAACGCCAGACTGATGAAATTTGATGTTATAATAATAACATAAAAAGGAGGAATGTAGGTGGTGAGTTGAAATCTACAATTTAAACTACAAATACCTTCTTTTAAGCATGGATGACAAAAAAGTAAAACAATGGACACATGACCTTAGAAAATAATCATCTTTTAAAGCTGATAGATGGCTTTTCTTCTCTCATAAGGTTATAGCCTTAAGTACAAATACATTGTCATGATATGCAAAACTTCAAGTATGAATACACTTTATATTTAATATAAAGGTAAATCACCTAAGAACACATTCGATAAGTATTCAACAAAATAATATGAATATTAAGTATAAAATATTTGACATTTTCTTTACTCAAAAAGAGAGCACTTGCTAATAAACTTTATAGAAGATGATTAAATCACACATCAATGTCCTTTTACATCCAATTTAATATGAGTTCTGATGTAAATAAAATATCCAAGGCATTTTAAGTACTATACAAAAATGTATGCAAATGTGTGATAAAACTAATTAAAATATCTCAGTGGTAGCATTATTCCCTACTTATAAATCTCCAAGTCCTTCCAGCATCAGGGAGCAAGTACTCGAGAAAAGATTTTGACCATGGTGATTTTACAAAAGCCATCATCTTCAGAAATGGTGAGAACCTGTGATAACAGGCACCAGAAAACTTCATGAGTGATAAATGCCCCCAAGTACTTTCTTTGGAGACAGGCCAGTAAGATAATTTAATTGTTAATATGTTACATTAAAATCACTCAGTGTTGTTAATAATTGAATACAAATGCTACCTTAATTGGGACAAATGATTTGAAGCCCCAGTCATTCGTTATTTAAATTTTCATTTTGCTTGAAATAAGATCTATTTTTTATTTTCTCTTCTGTTTAAATTTTTACACCTACAATGTCTATATGGAAGTGCAGTATAGCGATCAAAGGCCTTGTCGAAAGAACTGGTAACAACACTGCCACCATTAAATTATCACAGATCTATGAATACTGCCAGTTCTGAAGATCTTCACTTAAAAAACAGATTCCAAACCCAAGTCCTACTCTCTAATTTTTCAACAATTTGTGATTATGACAAAGTTACTTCATAACTCTTAAAATATGTGAAGTGGGCCTGGCTTTTATACACCAGGCCTTTTGGCTAGAGTAAAATTTTAAAAGTCTGAAAAGTAAAAATGCAACAGAAATGCAGGAGATTCAAAACATATAGAGACTAAGTGAAAAACATAGTTGCTGCCATTCTGCAGAGCTCACAGTGTGTGTCTATTACACTGTTTAATTATTAAACAGCCATGGAAGGAATGGATAAAGATGGTATAAATGGCTTGTCTGTATAATCTGACATCGAGTTGATTGTTTTGGTTCACTTATGGTTGGTAGAAAAGTTTTATTTCTTTTAAAGTGAGCTTTTCTTACTTTTAAAATTATGTAAGTGGGAATGCATGCCTGTTTTCTCCATTATAGTTGTTTGTGATTGACATATGGACATAGATGTAATAAAGTAGAAAAATATGAAAATACTAAAGCTCTAAGGGAGGGCAATCATCCATTTGTCCAAAAAATGCTTTGCTACTAAAAGCATTTGAAAAGCATTGTTTCCCAAGTTATTCCTAATTGTATTGTGAAGGTCTGTCAACCTCTAATAAAAATCATGAAAATGGCTGCAAAAGTAAATAAATAAATAAATGCAGGAGGTAACTATCATTGTTATTACGTGTTTCTTTTTTTCCTCATACAACTGGAAGGATATTCTGATCTTTATTTCTTAAATCTTTGGCTAATTATTTCTCTCCTGTCTTCTGTATGTCAAAGCAATGTATACCCACTGGTTTGTGTAATCCTGGACCTCTGCTAAATTTCAGTCCTCTTTTCATAATCTGTTTTACTAAGAATGTACTACAAGGACTTTGATTCCCAAACAACCAGTAGTTCAAACTTCAAAACACCCTATCCCTGTGCTTAGGTCCATTTGTTTTTGTGTTTTTTGCTTTGAGACAGAGTCTCACTCTGTCACCCAGGCTGGAGTGCAGTGGCACAATCTTGGCTCACCACAACCTCTGCCTCCTGAGTTCAAGTGATTCTACTGCCTCAGCCACCCGAGTAGCTGGGACGACAGGCATGTGCCACCATGCCTGGCTAATTTTTGTATTTTTTAGTAGAGATTGGATTTCCTCATGTTGGCCAGGCTGGTCTTGAACTCCTGATCTCAAGTGATCCAACCGCCTCGGCCTCCCAAAGTGCTGGGATTACAGGTGTGAGCCACCGCGTCGGGCCTAGGTCCATTTGTGTTTGTTATTTTTATTAAAATGGTTAACATGTCCAGTCCTCCCTTGGTATCCTCAAGGGACTGGTTTCAGGATCCACATGCACATGCTTGGATGCTCAAGCCCCTAATATAAAATGGTGTAGTATTTGCATACAACCTACATGCATCCTCTGTATACTTCAAATCATCTCTAGATTACTTACAATGCCAAATACAATGTAAAGGCTATGTGAATATTTGTTACATTGTGTTTTTTATTTGCATTTTTTTATTGTATTGTTATTTACCTTTTTTTCAAATATTTTCAACCCCCAGTTGGTTGAATCCTCGGCTATAGAATTGCAGATGGGAAAGGCTAACTGTGTTGCATGCTTACTATAGGCTAGGCATTGTTCTTACCACTTTGCATGTCTTAACTCAGTAAGTCTTCATAATAATTTTATACTATATTTGATAGCTATAATAATTAACATGATTGCCACCTATATTATTATAAGCATGGGGCTTTGCAGGGTACTGTGGTACAGAGCTCCAGGTGTGCAGGGTGCTTCCTAGAATCACCAATGTGCTGGATGTCACAGAGACTAGATGCTAAGCAAATGCTCGTGGAATTGATTATCTAACATTTTTACTTTTTATGCCTTTCTGTGTTCCTTCTTACATTCCAGATGTTCTGCAGAGTTTTCATGACCTCTGTTGAATATCAACTCTGGGAAAGTCAATATTTACGGAGTTTTAAAAGGGAGTACAAATCAAAAGTAAAAGACAGCTTCAGTTGGCACAAGAAAAAATACTTCATGGGTAAAAGAGTACAAAAGAGGACCATTAAGGATGGAGTAATGTAGGCTTCACCTTGAGGCTTCCTCAAGATAGTCACCAGCACCACTGGCATGACCTGAACACACAATGTAATGTATGTACATAGAAAATAATATCTTCACTTCATCACTTTTTTAGGGGGCAGTGTGGGCAGTGTACTACTTTTAATAAGTAAAATGCATGATTTGATGAAAACTTGATAAGTGAATCCTCTAAATAAATTATCATTTGGAGAGCTTTTTAATGTTCAGTGTGGTTTTACACAAAGAGTTTGTGCGCTTATTCTGTTTGCCTTGGACTTTCACATGTAATTACATCTCATCATCAAAGTGTATGAAAATTAGAAAGCTGAAATAAACTTATTTTTTCTCTGTGACCATCATATAAATGGATCCTCTTGCCACAGTCACTCCATGCATTACGAATAGGTTCTATGGAAGCAGAATGATCACATTCAAATTTCAGCAATGATGTCTTCCAAGGCTAGTGATATGTCTTTATTTCTATATTTCTATTTACTTACTTTAACATTGTTTCACTATAAATTGATTAAAGCAGTCTTTTCCAAGCTAAAGCATATTTACTCTTCATGAATACTATACTAAAAGCACTTAGGGTTTATATTAATATTTATTCTTTAGGAAGAGAGATGTCTTTAAAGAATACCTTTACGTTAACAGATATTTAGGCTTTTTTTTTTCTGAGCTGATTTACAAAGCTTCACAGAATAGCAGTGTATTTTTTCTGAGTCATTTCAATCTTCCCTAATATCTCCATTTCCATTTAGAAATGTGACAGTTGATCCTATTGTATTCAAAGACTGCTACCTCAGGAATTAATGAATATATTTTTCAAATGCTAATGTTTCAGTGAAATGAAAGTGTTCTTCAGCATTCTGTTCATTGGATGCTATAAAAATGATTTTTGGAAGTAGGTTTTCGAAAACAACTTGGCATTTAATAATTCCCTGTGTGTGTTTTTTTTTTTTTTTTTTTGGTACTTCACCTTCTAGCCTTATTAAGGGAAGCTATTTAAGATTTGGTTAGGTCCAGTGGCTCAAAGAGTGTCTCCTAACATTGTATTAGTCTGTTCTCATGACGCTATAAAAGACATACCCGAGACTGGGGAATTTATAAAGAAATGAGTTTTAATTGACTCGACTCACAGTTCCACATGGCTGGGGAGGTCTCAGATAACTTACAATTATGGCAGAAGGCACCTCTTCACAGGGTGGCAGGAGAGAGAGAATGAGAGTCCAGCAGAGGGGGAAGCCCCTTCTAAAACTATCAGATCTTGCGAGAACTAACTCATATCATGAGAACTGGATGGGGGAAACCACCCCCATGATTCAACTATCTCCACCTGCTCCCTCCCATGACAAGTGGGGATTATGGGAACTATAATTCAAGATGAGGTTTGGGTGGGGACATAGCCAAACCATATCAAAGAGTATTTTCATTTTTTTAAAAAAACAAAATTATTTTTAATTTGTAGAGATGGGATGTTGCTGTGTTGCCCAGGCTGGTCTCTAACTTCTGGCCTCAAGCAATCCTCCCACCTCAGCTTCCCAAAGTGCTTGGATTACAGGTGTGAGCCATCGTGCCTTTCTTCTGAGAGTATTTTCTAGAGGAATTGTAATAGCGGGACAATCTGGAAGAAAAGACAAAGAAGGTCCCTTTTGTCTTTAACTTAGACCCTACATTAGTTGCTATTGTGATATAACAGATTACCACAAATGTAGTGGCTTAAACAACATTCATTTATTGTCTCACAGTTTCTGTAGGTCAGGCTTGGCTTAAATGCTCAGTCTCACAGGAAGAGACAAAATAAGAAATGTATATTTGGTCTTTGCTCCTAGTTCCTGGCACAGAGCTTTTAAAATCCTTGTAATTTCTTGAGCGATAGAAGCATCTTTTGTTACAATATTTAGTTTTAGTCCCCAGTCTGACACAAAAGCTTCTAAGACCTTTGGAATCTCTGGAGTGGTAAGTGTCTCTTTTTGTGTGTGAATGAGATGACTGGTGGCTGGGGTCTCTAGATGGCTTCAGGATGAGGCTGGTTGCTAGAGGAACCAAACAGGTGATTAGAGGGTTAGAACTTTCAACCCCATCCCTTGACCTCTGGGGAAGGGTGAGGGGATCCAGATTGAGATCAATCACCAATGGCCAGTGGCTTAATCAACCATGCCTACATAATGAAACCTCCATAGAGACCCTAAACAACAGAGTTTGGAGAGCTTCTGGGTTGGTGAACACACTGATGTGCTGGAAGGTGTCACAGCCAGAGAGGGCATGGATGCTCCATGTCCCTTCCTACATACTTTGTTCTGTGCTCACTTCTATTTGGCTGTTTCTGAGTTGTATCCTTTATAATAAACCAGTAACAGCATGTAAACTGTTTTTCTGAGTTCTGTGAACCTTTCTAGTGAATTACTGAACCCAAAAAGGGGACGGTACAATCTCCTGATTTGTAGCTGGTTGGTCAAAAGTATGGGTGGCCTAGACTTGGGATTGGCATCTGAAGCGGGGGCAATCATGTGGAGCTGAGCCCTCCACCATGGGCTGTGTTAACACTGGGTAATTAGCGTTGAAATTGAATTTAATCACTGGACACACAGATGGTGTTCACAGAGAATTGGAGAATCACTTGGTGTGGAAATCCCACACATTTGGTGTCAGAAGTGCTGTAAGTATAGAAAAAGAGTTTTCCATTTAGCTGCAATCAAGCCATCAGCTAGACTGAGTTCTCATCTGGACCCTGGGATCTTGGCCCAGGCTCATTCAGGTTATGGCAGAATTCAGTTCTTTACGGTTGTAGAACTGAGGCCTTTAGCTGCCAGAGATCATTCTTCTCCATTGGCAATTCACAGCCTGGATGTTTGCCTCTTCAAGGCCAGCAAGAGGGTCACGCTAGCTCAAGGAGGGCTCCAGTCCCTTTTAAAGAACTCACTTGATTAAGACCACCAAAGATCATCTCCCTTTTGATTAACTCAAAATTGATTAAGAACATTTATTACATTTGCAAAATTAGCACAATCACAAGAGTGATATTCCATTATATCACAGATTCTATCCACTCTGAAGGGGAGGGAATTATACAAAGACATGGATCATTAGAGGTCATTTTAGAATTCTTATTCCACAAGTCTTAAATCCAGCCTTATTTAGCTGAATTATTACATCCAATTTTCCAGACCTCAAAACAGGTTCTCCAGTCAGAGGTTCAAGGCACAGATAAATCACAGAAATTCTGAGGCCCTCCTGGTTATGACCAGCCCTCTTTCCACAGAGAATTCCCATATCACTTTTCCTACTAGATTTCTTACAGTTGTGCTGGACTTACTAAAAGAGGTGTGCAATGCTTTCTCTTCACAAGCCCCTGCCATTCACCTAAAAGCACAATATCTAATTGTAGATCAGAAGCATAGGAGAAAAATTGCCTCACAATTTTAAATCTATAAATCATCAGTGTTTGTACCATTGAGCAATGGTAAATCTACAATGCTTTTGTCTTTCCCAATGACATTTTAAAGATAATTCCTTATTTTCTTGTGAAAAGTTAAAATATAATCTTGTTCAATTTTCTGCATTACTGATACTGTGCCTTAATGTATTTCAGGAGCAATGATGTTCTATTTGAGATGTGCTATCTTGTCACCGTATTGATTTTTTGGTGCATGTGATGGAGTAAAAAGGAATATCTATTGACTTCTGCTAAGACATTGTTCATAACATTAAATATTTTTGCTTTCCAACATTATTGAATCAGAGCAGTGAAACTGAAATCAGTAAAAATTAATTTCCAATAATTTTAAATACTCTGAAATACTAACTGTTTTCTCTAGCTTTTTCTTGCCCTCTTGAAAACCGATAATGATTTCTGTTTGGAATTTTATTTCAGTGATCTCAGAGTACAATTCTGAAATGATTAACAGAAGATTAGTGTGACATTTAAGAAGAAAACAGCAGCTTCATGCTTTAAAGAGTTTACGCCTGTAATCCCAGCACTTTGGGAGGCTGAGGCGGGTGGATCACCTGATGTCAGGAGTTTGAGACCAGCCTGGCCATCATGGTGAAACCTCGTCTCTACTAAAAATACAAAAAAAATTAGCCAGGCATGGTGGCGGGCGCCTGTAATCCCAGCTACTAGGGAAGCTGAGGCAGGAGAATCGCTTGAACCCAGGAGGTGGAAGTTGCAGTGAGCCGAGATCACACCATTGCACTCCAGCCTGGGAAACAAGAGTGAAACTCCATCTCAAAAAAAAATAAAAATAAATAAATAAACAAACAAATACATGAATGAATGTATGGGAAATATCCTCAACATCAGAAAAACAGTTGCTTTTTAAAACTCTCAACAAAATCCTACTATTTTTCCCATGTGAGGCAGATGGGCTGTTGTGTTGGAGTGATACAAAGGCATACAATGAGTAGGCTGTTAACAGCAGTCACTTGGTAGGACAAAAACTGTGGTGCATCACTGTAGCATACAGCCAGAGGAATTCTTAAAAGACAAAACTACAATGCCGCGTGCCAGAGCCCATTGGAATATATAATACTCACTAAAAATAATGGAAAAGAAAACAAATCCTTGCAGTTCTCATTTGGGAATATTCACTAACTTCACCAATAACGTTTTAGTTAATATGATGCTAAGTATAATAATGTTGAGGATGATGATGATGATGATGATGATGATGAAAACAGATTATCAGAGGACTTACTTTATGCCTTTTTCTAAAACCTTATGTGTAGAATCCCATCTACTCTTTAGAACAAGTGTAGGAGGCAGATGCTTTTGTTATCCCCATTTTGAAGCTTATTCAGTGACTTAGTTCTGGTCTGACACCAGACCTGTGCTGTAGCAAATGCTGTGGGTAGCCAGCCATATCCTGTCTGCACTCTCAGTTCTCCTACACAGTATCTCCAATTCCAATCTCAAGCTCCTACGACTTTATGCAGCCACAGGAGTGCGTTTGGCCCATGCATAGGCCAGGCCACAGGTACAATGTCTTTGGGAGTAGGGCTTAACAGATGGCAAATGGGAATTGCTAAATAAATACCCATCTTTTTGGTTCCTCAGTGGGACTTGCTGAGAACTCTACACTTGTCCCAGAGGTCCCAGAGGCCCTCTTAATTCACCCTGTGTTGGCCCCCATCCCTTCCCCATCTCAACCTTCCTTTTATCTGCCTTAGCACTGCTTTCCGGAATTGTCTCTCAAAGAAAGACAAATTCCTGTCTCAGAGTATGCTTCTGAAGAACTCAACTTAAAAACATGGTCTTTTCTTCTATGACAGACTGCTAATAAAATATCATTTAAAAGAAATTAACTGAAGTTTGAGAATTTTTAAACTTGATTATGCTTTTGGGAAAAGCCATTTATTTTAGTTATTCTTATAACTTACACTCACAGAATTTCTTTAATAAAGAACAAAGCTTTGTTCATTCTTTTTCAATTCAACTAGGATTTATTTTCAGATAACTTTTTTTCAATACGTAGTAAGTTCCCAAAACACTAGAAGTTTTAGAAAAAGTTAAACATACAATGTTTGTAGTCATTGCCTTTGAGTACATTTTGACATAAAACTAGAATCCTTTAAAATACTAAACAACTCAGCAGTCTACACTTTAAAAATGTTTAGAGGGATAAATTGATCATTCTTCAACTATGAAGAAAATTTCACTTCAGGTCATAATTACGGAGCATCTACACGTATTCACAGTGGACAAAATCTATGCAATACAGAAGTGTAAAACAACACCTGGAACATAATAAATGATGAACTCATGCTGTAAAGATAATGTCTCTTTTTTTCCCAGGACTATTTTCTCTTCATAGAGCCATGACTTTACATTTCAAAGGGTTGCAAAGACCTAGGAACCTTCCCTTATTTTCCCAAGAGATGATTTGTTTATATTAGAAAAACTAAATCTTTTTCTCTCTCTCAAGATGGGATGAGGGGCTGCTGTGCAACAGCTTTTACAGAAACTCTAAATGGCATAGTTTTGGGGCTCCTCTCCAGCAATCCAACCCACTGTAAATGCAGCTGCCATCTGTTCTCATTGCATCCCTCCACAGGGGGAGAGTACAGATGGGGAACTGAACCGTAAATAATGTCTGGCCTCTGATCTAGAAACTTTGTGTTTGCTTTTAGGATGAAATAAAGAAATGTAGGCATTAAAAACTTATCAATAAAATGTTCTTGGGAGTGAATCTTTAAATTGGCCTGCAAAGGGCCTTTTCACTTGCAAACAAGATTGCAATAGATTTCAGACACATGCTCAATAACTAAATTGACTAAACGGTTTTTTCCCCACAATTCTGGGAAGACCCATTGAAATTCTCTGCTTCATAGGAACTACCAAAGTCAAGCAGATGTCAACCTTTCGATTAAGGAACAACACAAGAACACGCAAGATTCTGTCCTCCTAAGAGCAGCTATGACCAACAAACTACCAGACTTTTCAAAGACATGGCAATTTGAGCTCAGGTTCAGAGCTCCCTATGTCAAAGTCTATGACCATTTGAACTGGCTCTTATTCTGTGGTTTATGGTATCTTGTCATCTAACCGTAGGCCTTAGAGAAATGAAATTGGCCTGAAGGCCTGAGTGAGGCTGGAGGGACAATTTAGTATACAAAGGACATCAGGAGCTCCAGGAAGAAGAGCCAGAGAGTTTCACGGGTATCTAGAGAGTGTCTTAAATCTGAGGAATTCTGTGGTCTGTGTTTTGTATTTGAGGAATTCCATATAGCTGTGTTACTAGAGTGTGATCAAAACTCTTAGGAAAATAGCCTACGGTGAGTAAATAATCCTTTACTGAGATCTTTTGGCTACATTTGTAGTTTGTCCTAGGAAGCTTTTTTAACATACAGTTTGTGGTCATAGTTTCATTTATTTACCTATGTGTTAAAATTGTATATAGTAATTGGTGTGGCAGTTTTCTGTTTGTCTGCCTGTGACTGCAAGTGATTATCTGTAGTGTGTGTATGTTGAGGGGTGTGATGGTTAATACTGAGTGTCGACTTGATTTGATTGAAGGATGAAAAGTATTGTTCCTGGGTGTGTCTGTGAGGGTGTTGCCAAAGGAGATTAACATTTGAGTCAGTGGACTGCAAAAGGCAGACCCGCCCTCCATCTGGGTGGGCACAATCTAATCAGCTGCCAGCAGGGCTAGAATAAAAGCAGGCAGAAGAATGTGGAAGGACTGGTCTGGGTAAGTCTTCTGGCCTACATCTTTCTCCCATGCTGGATGCTTCCTGACCTTGAACATCAGACTCCAAGTTCTTCAGCTTTTAGACTCTTGGATCTACACCAGTGTTTTGCCAGGGGCCCTTGGGCCTTTGGCCACAGACTGAAGACTGCACTATCGGCTTCCTACTTTTGAGGTTTTGGGACTAGGACTGGCTTCCTTGCTCCTCAGCTTGCAGACGGCCTATTGTGGGACTTCACCTTGTGATTGTGTGAGTCAATTCTCCTACGAAACTCCCCTTCATATATACATCTATCCTATTAGTTCTGTCCCTCTAGAGAACGCTGACTAAGACGGGGGGCAGTGAGATTCTTTAGATATCTTTTACATCCGTGGTTCTCAAACTTCAACATGCATCAGAATCACATAGAAGGTTTCTTAAAACACAGATTCGTGGGTCTCATTTCCAGAGTTTATGATTCAGTAGGTCTGGGATGGGGCCCAAGAATTCACAAGTGTGGGTACCAAACTTTGAGAATCACTTCTCTATATCTACAACTACCCCTTTTCTTAGTGCTTTTCTAAAAATTAAGGGTGACTATGCATGTTATAAGAACATCGTGTTAAATGAGTAAGTCCACTTTAAAAATAAAAGGAGAGGAAAGAATCTGATTGCTAATTTCACCAAGAACTTGAAAAGAAAGTGAGACTCTCCTTGCAGAGTGAATTGAAGACATAGCTGTAATTCTAAAAAGACAGAACAAACAATTGAGCAAGATGACTTTCTTTTCTGGGGAAAGAGTTATCCCTAAACAATGTTAAGATAGAACTTTTCTTTTTGACAAATTACCTTTGCTTTCCTCCCAAGGGAAATCAGCAAAATTGTATAGTCTCTCAAATGGAATAGAGCTCATATTTTGATTGGTTTTTGAGATTAATAGATGCATAAAAATTTAGAATAAGGACTTGCAAAAGCTCCCCACCCCCACACAAATGGAAGTAAAAAATGCTCAAAAGGGAATGATAGAGTTCTAGTTAATAGGTGTCTCAGTTACTAAGATAAGGTGAAGAACAAAAGATATGCTAACAGCCTGCCCTTAAGAAACCTTTTTGTCTCAAGACTTTAAATCAAGACTTAAAGGTGTTAATATTACTTGGCAAATAAATGTTAAATAATTATAAAATTATTCTTTTTGGTTCACTTAATTAAGTATTCAATATTTCTGATCACAGAAAACAGTTGAGCAACTTAAATTGTTTTGTTAAATTGGCTTAAAAGACAGTTAAATGTTTTCTCTGCCTATATCACTGAGTGGGATATAATATTTAAAGCAAACATTTACTTCATGTAAATCAAATTTATTTTCTGAAAGGAGGCCTAATTAACTGAAAAAATTTGTATACATGTCTTATAGAACATGTACGTGATTACACTGAAAGTTATCCTCATTACACTAAAAATTAAAGACCGTGTGGATGTAAACTTGAATGTAAGTAAATCGAATTAGAATAAGTCATGCCTTTGTTTTGAAAAATGTGGTTGTTGTCAACTTCAGGCAATGCTGCATGCTATTTCATTAGGATTCCTTGAGTAAAATTTTAGGATACTATAGCCATTTCCCATTATCCATGGGGGATTGGCTCTAGGATGCCCCGTGGATACCAAAATACATGGATGCCCAAGTCCCTGATAGAAAATGGTGTTGTATTTGCATATATCCTACACGCATCCTCTTAGACTTTGAATCCTCTCTGGATTACTTATAATATCCAATACAATGTAAATGCTAAGTAAATCATTGTTATACTGTATTGTTTATGGTATAATGGCAAGAAAAATTGTACATGTTCAGTAGAGATGCAACCAACCATATTTTATTCTGAATATTTTCAGTCCAAGGTTGGTTGAATCCATGGACATGGGAGGGCCGACTGCATGTTTCTCTGATGAGTTTTGATATTAACAGTAGTTGTATTGCTTTGTCATGCCAATATAAATTACAATTCCATGATCCATAATTCACTTGAGACATGGATATTTTATGACCATGGTCAATTATTTAAAAAAATAAGCAAACAGAAAGAATAATACAGGTTTGATATGTTGAGACAAACTAAAATTGCTAAACTATTTATTGTTTTACCTTGTCAACATTGTATCCCTGGCTAACAGAGGAGATGGACTATCTATGGCTAAGATAAGACTCTCAAGAGAAAATGAGCTAAGGTACTCGATCACCACAGAGCAGTTTATTTTTTATGCCAATTTTAGGTTTGTAGCAAAATTGAATGGGAAGTACAGAAAGTTCCATGTACTTCCTGCCCCCACACTTGCATAGCCTCCCTAGTGTTAATATCCCAAAAACTCGTGCTTCAACATGCTGAGAGACCTTTAAAGCTGCCTCAGAATCAAAATCCCTCTAACCTTGTCTTATTTCCCCTGACAAGTGTAGGAAAGAGCTCTTTCTGGAATTCTTTATCTTACTGACAAAAATTTCTTCCAAAAGAAATGCAATTTTTCTTAAACCCCTTTCCTAGGAACATCAGATAACCATGAAAGCTTAACCATGGAAAAAGAGAAGAGACTGGGAGTCATCACCATGGCTAGACTGACTTTTCATTTATTCTTCTGAGAACAGCTCAGGGAGATTACTCAAACATCTGGCCTCTCTTTGAGTTCATATTCTGTACAACTCACGTGTACACACGTGCATGTAGTAAATGTGTTATGCTTTCCCCTTGTCCACCTGTTTTTATTGTTTTGGGCATGTCAGTCATGACTCTTTATAATGGGGAAGGGAGGGATTACCCTCTTTCTGCCCCTGTACTACCTATCAACATCCCTCATCAAATGGTACATTTGTTATCATCAATGGACCTACGCTGATACATCATTATCAACCAAAGTACACAGTTCACAGTAGAGGTAACTGAGCAGTTTTTATTTATGTATTTTTTCAATACATAAATGTGTTTACCAGATAAACACATTCAAATTACAAGGGTAAAATCAATGCAGTAAAAACTGTGTCTCATGCTTCTTAAAATTAATTACATTTAATCTAAAATTTATCATTTATCATTATTTCATATACATGTATGTATATTTAAAATACACACATACTGAGATAACTTAAAATTATTTTTTAAAGAAGCTTATGTATTATAAATGACTGGTAGTTCAGTAGAAAATGGTCACTGAGTATGGAGTTTGTTCTCAATGCAAGGCAGTAAAAATTTTATTTGCTTTTTGCATAGATGAGAAAGGTTTTGTCTTATGCAAACTGAAAATATATTCTTAAAAGGGTGTATTTTTATGCTTTGTTTTGGTATTTTATGTTGACTTTGGATATTTTATGACCATGGTCAATTATTTAAAAAAATAAGCAAACAGGAAGAATAATACAGGTTTGATATGTTGAGACAAACTAAAATTGCTAAACTATTTATTGTTTTACCTTGTCAACATTGTATCCCTGGCTAACAGAGGAGATGGACTATCTATGGCTAAGATAAGACTCTCAAGAGAAAATCGAGTAGCCACAGCAGAGAAAAGGATTTGGTCATGGACTCCTGCATTGTTAACTACTATAAGGTCTGTTAAGTGCCATAAGGTTTTCTTCCTGCAGTTAGGCAGAAACCCATTCTAGGAAACACAGACCAACTGATTCTGGTAGACCGCCTGACAATATCCCTTTTTATATGCTCTTCACACTTTATTCTGAGCCAGAGCAAACAGTCCAGTGGCTCTTCCCCAAAGTGTGAAGACATTGGGGGTCTTGCCAACAGCACTGACTGGGCAGGAGACTGGCCTTACAAACATTCTTTGCTGATAAGCAGCTAGAGACTCTAAGCTGGTTCTAGTCAGATTGCAGAGACTGTGCACAAAATCTCTTTGTGCCCTATAGTTTACTTTTTGACGTACAGGGCCAAATTCCACTGCATTTTAATGTTAAAACCCCTCCCCAAAGTGATCATGGAATGTAAGTTACATACATGTTAACTCACTGAGTGAGTGCTTGACTTTCTCCATAAATATTCGTAGACATTGCCCAAACCTGATGAATACGCACATAAGATGGGAAGGCTTAAATGCCACTGTTTCCTTCCCTTCGGCAGAGGCAGAGCGTTTGCTTTCCGTTTCCCTGGAAGCCACATTTCTCTCATCTGCAGGTTGTTAGTTGGAAAGTTAAAGTTTTGTCCCTCTTCCTTCCTCCAGGGATCTCACAGTCATTTGTTAACCACCTCCGTTATAGTTGCCATAAAGTATTGTTACTTTGGTTAATACATACTTTGTATACTTTATATTATCCAATTTCAGACAATAGGTAACTAAATCCCTAAGAATATTTCTTCCTATAGGCAAAATACATAAAAATCCAGGAACACATAAAATTTCCTTTATGCTTATTTCATGAAGGAACATATCCTTGAGGAAGTCTTAATATGGAAAACCATGAATGCAAGCTAATTAACGTCAGGTAAATTTAAGGACAATGTCTCTAATAAATGCAACTGAGAGATGCACTTTTAAAATGGGTTAAGCATAAAACTGTCCTTTGTTAATAGATGCTAAATTAAATTACACTTAGTTTAAATCAAATTCTTCTATAATCAAATCTTATTAAAAAAATAACGTTGGCAAAGTCTATGCACATGATGAAGAAAATGGGATGTGTATTGATTGCCCTTGTCTATTAACTGCTGAGAACAGTGTCAGATATTATAGACAGAACTTTTGTGGGTCCTTTTATTTTTCATGGCAATACAGTTATTTGCAAAGGCTCAATTAAAATTGATCCTCTTTTCCACTTCAGCATAATTAAACAAAGAAAATTTGTCATCATAATAATGGAAGAAATAACACTTTTAAAAGTAATATTACTTAGGTGTGATATGACTCTATTTCATAGTGGAAACATCATTCTCAGAATCTCTTTAAGAAATTGGAGCAGTACCTGGTCTATGGCTTAAGGAGTCCCAGACTTACATTTGGTAAAGTATCACCTCCTGGTAAATTTGGGGAATCTTGAAGAAAGGAATCCCCCCACACACATAGTGTTATAGATAAACACTGGAGAAGAGCCACTGGACCCTTTGCTCTGATTCAGAATAAAGTGTGAAGACCATATACAAAGCTTTCTGGGACAGTGAAGCAGTCTTGGACTCATTTACAAAGTCTCCAGATAGAAATTAACTCTCAGGATTTAGTACAATCATGCACCACATAATGACATTTTGGTCACCGATGGACTGCATATATGATGGTGGTCCCACAAGATTATCATGGACCTGAAAAATTCTTATCACTTAGTGATGTTGCAGTATCCTAATGTCATAGTGCAATGCATTACACACATATTTGTGGCAAACTGATGTAAAGCTACGGTGCTGCCAGTTACATAAAAGACTAGCACATACAGTTATGTACAAAACATAATACTTGAAAATGATAACAACTAGGTTACTGGTTTTTGTATTTATGATACTATACTATTTATTGTTATTTTAGAGTGTATTCCTTCTATTTATTAAAAAAAAAGTTAACTGCAAAACAGTCTCAGGCAGGTCCTTCAGGAGGTATTCCAAAAGAAGGCATTATTATCATAGGAGATGACAGCTCCATACATGTTACTGCTTCTGAAAACTTTCCAATGGGACAAGATGTGGAGGTCAAAGACACTGCTATTGATGATTCTGATCCTGTAGGCCTTGGCTAATGTGTGTGTTTGTGTCTTTGCTTTTAACAAAAAAGTCTAAAATGTTAAAAATATTTAAAAAAGAAAAAAGTTGATGGAATAAGGATATAAAGGTAAAATATTTTTCTATAGCTGTATAATATGTTTGTGTTTTCAGCTGTTATGACAAGACTCAAAAAATTCTAAAAATTAAATATTTTATAAGTTAAAAAAGATTACAATGAGCAAAGATTTATTATTAAAGACAGAAAAAAATGTTTAAAATAAATTTAGTGTAGCCTAAGTGTACAGTGTGTATCACCTACAGTAAAGTCCTAGGTCTCCACATCTACTCACTGACTCACCCAGAGCAACTTGCAATCCTACAAGCACCATTCATGGTAAATGCCCTATACAGGTTGATATTGTTTGGCTTTTTGTGTCCACTGAAATCTCACTTTCAACTGTAATCCCATAATCCCCACAAATCATGGAAGGGTGGGAGATAACTGAATCATGTCGGCAGTTTCCTCCATGCTGTTCTCACGATAGTGAGTGAGTTCTCACCACACCTGATGGTTTTATATGCATCTGGCATTTCTCCTGCTGGCACTCATTTTCTCTCCTGCCACCCTG
The DNA here is from genome assembly GCF_000001405.40 of Homo sapiens. NCBI lineage: Eukaryota > Metazoa > Chordata > Mammalia > Primates > Hominidae > Homo > Homo sapiens. The sequence goes on from NC_000005.10 coordinate 95,001,128, forward strand.
CAAAGAGGCACCTTGTGCCATGATTGTACGTTTCCTGAAGCCTCCCCAGCCATGTGGAACTGTGAGTCAATTAAACCTCTTTTCTTTATAAATTACCCAGTGTCGGGTATTTCTTCATAGCAGCATGAAAACAGACTAATACAGTAAATTGGTACCAGGAGGAGTGGGGCGCTGCTGTAAAGATACCAAAAAATGTGGAAGTGACTTTGGAACTCGGTAATCAGCAGAGGCTGGAACAGTTTGGAGGGCTCCGAAGAAGACAGGAAAATGTGGGGAAGTTTAGAACCGCCTGAAGACTTGGAGGGCTCAGAAGACAGGAAGATGAGGAAACCTTTGGAACTTCCTAGAGACTTGCTGAATGGCTTTGACCAAAATGCTGATAGTAATATGGACAATGATGTCGAGGCTGAGGTGGTCTCAGATGGAAATGAGGAGCTTTCTGGGAACCAGCATAAAGGTGACTCTTGCTATGCTTTAGCAAAGAGACTGGCAGCATTTTGCCCCTGCCCTTGAGATCTGTGGAATTTTGAACTTGAGAGAGATGATTTAGGGTATCTGGCAGAAGAAATTTCTAAGCGGCAAACTGTTCAAGAGAAAGCAGAGCATAAAAGTTTGGAAAATTTGCAGCCTGATGATGCCATAGAAAAGAAAAAATCATTTTTGGGGGGAGAAATTCAAGCCTCCTGCAGAAATCTGCAGAAGTAACGAGGAGCCAAATGTTAATCACGAAGACAATGGGGAAATGTCGACAGGGCATGTCAAAAACCTTCATGACAGCCCCTCCCACCACAGGCTCAGAGGCCTAGGAGGCAAAAATTATTTCATGGGCTGGACCCAGGGCTCCCCTGCTCTATGCAGCCTTGGGACATGGTACCCTGTGTCCCAGCTGCTTCAGTACCAGCTGTGGCTACAAGGGGCCAAGGTACAGCTTGGGCCATTGCTTCAGAAGGTGCAAGTCCCAAGCTTCCATTTATGGTGTTGAGCCTGTGGGTGCACAGAAGTCAAGAATTGACGTTTGAGAACCTCCACCTAGATTTCAGAGGATGTATGGAAATACCTGAATGTCCAGGCAGAAGTTTGCTGCAGGGGTAGAGTCTTCCTGGAGAACCTCTGCTAGGGCAGTGTGGAAGGGAAATGCGGGGTTGGAGCCTCGACACAGAGTCCTCACTGGGGCACTGCCTAGTGGAGCTATGAGAAGAGGGTCACCGTCCTCCAGATCCCAGAATGGTAGATCCACCCACAGCTTGCACTGTATGCCTGGAAAAGCCACAGACACTCGATGCCAGCCTGTGAAAGCAACCAGGATGGGGCTAGTATCCTGAAAAGCCACAGGGCCAGAGCTGCCCAAGGCTGTGGGAGCCCACCTCTTGCATCAGTGTGACTCAGATGTGAGACATGGAGTCAAAGGAGATCATTTGGGAACATTAAGATTTAACGACTGCCCTATTGGATTTTGGACTTGTATGGGGCCTGTAGCCAATTCGTTTTGGCCAATTTCTCCCATTTGGAACGGGAGTATTTCACCCAATGCCTGTAACCCCATTGTATCTAAGAATTAACTAACTTGCTTTTGATTTTACAGGCTCATAGGCAGAAGGGACTTGCCTTGTCTCAGATAAGACTTTGGACTTGGACTTTTGGGTTAATGCTGGAATGAGTTAAGACTTTGGGAGACTGTTGGAAGGGAATGATTATATTTTGAAATGTGAGGACATGAGATTTGGGAGGGACCAAGGGTGGAATAATATGGTTTGGCTTTGTGTCCCCACCCAAATCTCATCTTGAAATGTAATCCCATAATCCCCACATGTCATGGGAGGGAACTGGTGGAAGTTAATTGAATCATGGGGGCAGCTTCCCCCATGCTGTTCTTGTGATAGTGAGTTCTTATGACATCTGATGGTTTTATAAGCATCTGACATTTCCCCTGCTGGCATTCATTTTCTCGCCTGCCATCCTGTGAAGAGGTACCTTCTGCCATAATTGTAAGTTTCCTGAGGCCTCCCCAGCCATGCAGAACTGTGAGTTAATTAAACCTCTTTTCTTTATAAATTACCCAGTCTTGGGTATTTCTTATAGCAACATGAGAATGGACTATACACAGATGTACCATTTTTTATCTTTTATATCATATTTCTACTGTACCTTTTCTATGTTGTAACAGGTTTAGATATACAAATACTTGCAATTGTGTTACAATTGCCTACAGTATTAACTGCAGTCACATGCTGTACAGGATAGTAGCCTAAGAGCAATGGGCTATAGCATATAGCTTTGGTGGTAGGCTATATCATTTCAGTTTGTGTAAGTACACCCTGTGATGTTCACGCAACAATAAAATCACCTATTAACATATTTCTCATAATGTATCCCTGTCATTAAGCAATGCATGACCAAAACTTATGTCTCTAGTTTTATGAACATGCAACAAGGAAGTCTTTGGGTGTCAATGAGTGATATTGTTTTGCATCTATGTAAATAAAACAGTAAAAGAAGAAGAGAATACAGTAGGTCCTCACTCAACATCATGTGAAGACATGCTTGCTTCCCCTTTACCTTCTGCCATGACTGTGAGTTTCCTGAAGCTTCCCCAGAAGCAGAAGCATGTATAGGCTGCAGACCACGAGCTGATTAAACCTCTTTTATTTATAAATTACCCAGTCTCAGGTATGTCTTTATAGCAGTGTGACAGTGGACTAATCCAGAAAATTGGTACCAGAGAAGTGGGGCATTGCTATAACAATACCTGAAAATGTGGCAGCAGCTATGGAACTGGGCAATGGGCACAGGTTGGAACAGTTTTGAGGGCTCAGAAGAAGACAGGAACATGAGGAAAAGTTTGGAACCTCCTAGAGACATGTAAAATTGTGACCAAATGCTGATAGTGACAAGAACAGTGAAGTCCAGGCTGAGGAGGTCTCAGATGAAGGTGAGAAACTCATTTGGAACTAGAGTAAAGGTCACTCTTGCTGTGCTTTACCAAAGAGACTGGTGGCATTGCGTTTCTGCTCTATATATCTGTGGAATTCTGAACTTGAGAGAGATAATTTAGGGTATCTGGCTGAAGAAATTTTTAAGTAGCAAGCATTCAAGATGTGGCCTGGCTGCTTCTAAGAGTGTACACTCATATGCATGTGCAAAGAGATTATCTGAAACTGAAACTTATATTTAAAAGGGAAGCAGGGCATACAAGTTTGGAAAATTTGCAGCCTAGCCATGTGGTAGGAAAGAAAAATCCATTTTCTGGGGAAGAATTCAAGCCCGCTGTAGAAATTTGCATAAGAGGAGCTGAATGTTAATTGCTGACAATGGAAGAAAATACCTCCAAGGCATTTCAGACGTCTTTGTGGCAGCCCCTCCCATCACAGGCCAGGAGGCCTAGGAGAGAAAAATGGTTTAGGGGGCCAGACCCAGGGCCCTGCTTCTCTGTGCCACCTCAGGACATGGCACCCTGCGTCCTAGCTGCTCCAGCTCCAGCTATGCTAAAAGGCCCCAGATATGTCTCAGGCTGCTGCTACAGAGAGTTCAAGCCAAAAACCTTGGCAGCTTTCATGTGATGTTAAACCTCTAGGTGCACAGAGGGCAACAGTTGAGGCTTGGGAGCCTCTGCCTAGATTTCAGAGAATGTATGGAAACACCTGGATGTCCAGGCAGAAGCCCACTGCAAAAGCAGAGTCCCCATGGAGAACCTCTACTAGGGTAGGGCAGAGAGAAAATATGAGGTTGGAGCCCCCACACAGAGTCCCCATTGGGGCACTGCCTAATGGAGCTGTGAGGAGAGGGCAACCAGACTCCAGAAAGGTAGACCTATCAACAGCTTGCAACATGTTCCTGGAAAAGCCGCAGGCACTCAACACCAACTGGTGAAAACCACTGCGGGGTCTGTACCCTGAAGAGCCACAGGGGCAGAGCTGCCCAAGGTCTTGGGAGCCCATCCCTTGCATCAGTCTTCCCTGGATGTGAGACATGGTGTCAAAGGAGATCATTTTGGAGCTTTAAGATTTAATGACTGCCCTGCTGGGTTTCAGAATTTCTTGGGTCCTGTAGCTCTTTTATTTGGCCAATTTTTCCCTTTTTTTAATGGGAGCATTTACCCAATGTCTGTAAACTCATTGTATCTTGGAAGTAACTAACTTGTTTTTTATTTTACAGGCTCATAGGCAGAAGGGACTTGCCTTGTTTCAGATGAGACTTTGGACTTGGACTTTTGAGTTAATGCTGTAATGAGTTAAGACTTTGGGGTACTGTTGGGAAGACATGATTGTGTTTTAAAATGTGAGAAGGACATGAGATTTGGGAGGGGCCAGGGGGTGGAATATTATGGTTTGGCTCTGTGTCCCCACCCCAATCTCATGTCAAATTGTAATTCCCAGTGTTGAAGGAGGGAGCTGGTGGGTGGCGACTGAATCATGGGGGCAGACTTTCCCTTTGCTGTTCTCATGATAGAGTTCTCAAGAGATCTAGTTGTTTGAAAGGGTGTGGCACTTTCCCCACTTCTCTTGCTCTCTTGCTGGACAGATGAATATGTGCCTGCTTCCCCTTCACCTTCTACCATGACTGTAAATTTCCTGAGGCCTCCTCAGAAAGAGAACCCTGTATAGCCTGCAGAACCATGAGCCAATGGAACCTCTTTTCTTTCTTTATTTTTTTTTTTTTTTACCAAGTCTCAGGTAGTTCTTTATAGCAGTGTGGGAACATATTAATATAACATACATTTAAGGAAGATTAATAAAACAAGTAAGATAATTATTTGCCCAATTATTCCAGTTCAGGAGGCTGGAGCCCATCCCTGCAGCTCAGGGCACAAGGCAGGAACCAGCCCTGGGCAAGACACTATCTCATTGCAGGTTGTGCTCACACACCCCCACTCTCACAAAGACTGAGACAAGTTTCATTTAACATGCACATCTTTGGGATGTGGGAGGAAACCATAGCACCCAGAGAGAAAACCTAGGGAGACATGGGGAGAATGTGCAAACTCCACACAGACAGTGGCCTGGCTGGGAATAGATTATTCTTTTTCTCATCAATGTAGTAACAAAACAAATTTGAACAAAATGATGTTATTTGAGGACCCGCTATATATGTATTATTCAGAAGCTTTTATATATGTATATACACACACATACACACATACACATAAACACATATACATATATATGTATGTGTATATATATGTATATATATGTATGTATATGTATATATATGTGTGTATGTGTATGGGTGTATTTGTATATATATATATGTATATTAGAAGCTTAAGATCATAGACTATATGAAATAACTATCATTAAAACTAAGTTACTGTGAATTAATTTTTAAAAAATTTCCCAATGGCAAAACACTGTTTAAAGAAATAACATTAGAATGCATGGAAATAATTGTGTCTGTACTGGGTAAAACAAGGCTATACCTGATTCCCACCAACTGTAGGAAATGCAAAAAGTGATTGACTAGCAACATGTTCAATTCATGATTTTAGCACAAAAACACAACATGACAGGCCTTTTCTTGATCAAGATAGCTCATTAAAGGCTGCATAAATCAAAGGAAGGGACTGCCAACAAAACTTTCTGAAACCTGCTCAGAGACAAAACTTTCTCTGATGATACAAGTTGCATTTTCCTCCTGGGAAAAAAGGATCAACCATAATGCTTAATCTTCTGATGAACTTTAATGAAATTTATTCTAGGAAGCATCAGTATATTCCACGTCTCTGAAACTGGAGCCCTTTTGAGAGTAAAATGGGGTACTATTAACAATTATGTCAGTCAACAGGTAAAAAAACACAACTGCTTCCAGAAAAACTGGGATATATGGCTGTATTAGTCTGTTCTCATGCTGCTAATAAAGACACACCCAAGACTAGGTAATTTATAAAGGAAAGAAGTGTAATTGACTCATAGTTCCGCATGGCTGGAAACTTACAATCATGGTGGAAGGGGAAGCAAACACCTCCTTCTTCACATGGTGGCAGGAAGAGGAGAATGAGAAAAAGGGGGGAAAAGCCCCTTATATAACCATCAGATCTTATGAGCACTCACTATCATGAGAACAGCATGAGGGTAATCGCCCCCACAATTCAATTACCTCCCACTGGGTCCCTCCCGCGACACAGGATTATGGGAACTACAATTCAAGATGAGATTTGGGTGGGGACACAGTCAAATGATATCACTGTCCATCCTATCCTAAAGAAAATTCCCAAGGATTGAAAACGAAGAGGAACCTGAATAGCAAACCGTGAGCACATGTGGTAAGGTGGCAGCTGCTCGTATGACCAATTTTGTTAGGATCAGAGAATATATATGCAAATGCCAACCATCATACCTGATGCATAATACATACTAGAAATATTACTATGCCTTCCTCAATCAGAGAATAACTCTCTCTGAGCTTTCATAAATTACATTCTAAGGATAAAATTGCTGACAGGCCCTCTAACTTGGAAAAGACTTTGTTTACACTTAAAACACAGAATATGTTTCAGTTTTATCAAATTGAATTGCTTTTTTAAAAATGTCCTACAATTTATTTTTCTCAGATCTGGCTGCCTTATATCTGGTAGAAGTTCTCAATTAGTGAGACTTCAGTACACTGTGAAAAAAGTGAAACTTCACTGGGGGTAAACTTCTAAAACCTTTCCCATTCCCCAGGCTTTTACATTCTTATTCCACCTTGAAAATATTGTTCTCACAACACTTGCAAACTTTTCTTTAGCAATAACACATCAGACTCACAGAGTAGACTTGAAGAGTTTCAGAGTGGAGTGAATGAGATTCTCTAAATCTACTCAACACAGGATTTTTTTAACGCTATTATAAATAGAATCACAATAAACAGGTTCATTTTGTTACCCAGTGTAATGCCTACATGACGTAGCCTGAATTTCTACCCTGCCTAAACTTTGCTTATCTTTAAGAAACAGAACGCCTGTGATAAAAAGTTTCCTTTGTAACTAGGCAAGCTGAGACTAGTTAGAACCAAGGTAGCCATTGAACAACTTCAAAAAGACCTCAAGCTTCATTATAACCTCATTTCCATGCTAAATAATGCTCCCATCAGCACAATGACAATTACCATGACAATGACCAGAAGAAGCCATAAAATGACAAAAAAAGAAGGCCGCCCATTTCTGGAAGACATGCCTATTCTTCCCCTTGCTTTTAATGTCCAACCCCTTCATTGGAGAAACCCTATATCTTAACCCCCTCACCCCTTACCAATTGAGAAATCAATTTGTGGGCTATGCTCTCACTTCTCAATTTCATGGTCATTGAATAAAGAATGCACTGCTTGACACTCACTTCCAGTTTCATGTATTGAGTTCATCACAGGGGGCAGGGAAATACCCCATCTTTTGGGAGACTGGCTTTGTCAGTCATTTTGTTGATCATTTAAATTAGTTCCTAGTACATGAAGAAAAGGAATTGTTTCCTGTAGTGTGTTAACTTGGGTCCTCCCAAAAGATATGTCCAAATCCTAACCCCTAGTCACTATGAACATAACCTTACTTGGAAATGGGATCTTTGAAGATGTAATTAAGTTAAAGATCTTGATGAGATCATCCTGGATTTAGAGTGGGGCCTAAATCTAATGACTGGTGTCCTTAAAAGAGAAAGGAAAGGGCGATATAAGGCACAGAGACACACAGGGTAAGGCCATACAAAGATGGAGTCAGAGATTACAGTGATGCATCTATAAGCCAAGAAATGCTTGCAGCCACCAGAAGTTGAAAGTGTCAAGAATTCTCCCAGATGGGCACAGTGGCTTACACTTGTAGTCTTAGATACTGGGAAGGCTTGGTGGGAGGATTCCATGAACCCAGGAGTCTGAGGCTGCAATGAGCTATGATCATATCACTGCACTCCAGCCTGGGTGACCCTGTCTCTGAGAGTGAGGGTAAGAGTGAGAGTGAGAGAGGGAGAAAGAGAGAGAGAGAGAGAGAGAGAGAGAGAGAGAGAGAGAGAGAGAGAGAGAGAAGCATTGGGAGGGAATGCTGCCTTACCACATCTTGATTGTTGGAGTCCTGGTTTGAGATAATAACTGTTTTGTTGTTTTAAGCCTCCAAGTTTGGAATAATTTGCTAAGGCAGCTCAAGGAAACTACTATATCCGCCATGACCCAAATTTCAAGAAATCAAATGATAGAAAATGGCTATTACCAGATATATTTACACAGATTGCTCTTAAATTTTTTAACAATACAGATAGCCATGTCAAAACATTATATTCAAAATCTGATAGATTATAATATAGATGTCTCTGCCAAAAGGTATAGTTCCTAAAAACCCAACCTAATGAAAATATAAATGATTTTAAAAATAGTAACTGTACATCACAATTTCATAGGGCTGCCAGATAAAGTGACACTAAATTAAATTTCAAATAAATGATAAAAAATTTACTATATGTATGCCCCAGTTATTATATGATACATATTCATATATATGAATATATATAAAAGATATATATAAAAGATAATACATTATTTATCTGAAATTTAAATTTAACTAGGCATCATGTATTTTTATTCGCTAAATCTGGAACTTTCCAATTGCAGCAGGGAAATTGTGTATCTTACTCAAAGTCACATAGCTAACAAAATGTGAAAGCTGACTTTGAACTTATGTGTGTCAGACTACCAAAGATCACGTACTTTCTAATTCATTATGCTGCTTAAAGCAAAGACAATAAAACTCAGAAAAAGGCAGTAGCACTTCAAGAAGCCATCTGGTTGTTGTTTCTGGAAAATAGGTGTAGAAATGGAAGAATGATGGGCAGCTCTGGCTGCTGAGCCACTTCAGTGCCCGTTACGTAGAAATGAGATTCTGGAGAAGTCCAAACCACATTCTAGTGAATGTGGCTGTGGTGGAAATTAGTTTTTCCCTTCCACTGTTCTGTGCAAGGGTGATATGAGACATAGGGGGCATAACCATTTTGATTTTGCTGGGTAGTAGGTGAGGGCATCCTTGTCACACATTGATGAGTTCAATTTTCATTAATTCTAATAGTTATACAAGTGTTTTCTCTACATTCATCTTTTTCCAACCACCACATGGTTTCCAGGCATCATCAGGCTTAAAACCTTAATAGTTATTTTTTTTTGAGTCCCTTCATCCAATTGATCTCGAGTCCTATCAGACATTCCTCTGAACCATCTACTATATATTACTTTCCTTCTCTATTTCCACACCCATAATTCCGGTTCAAGCTCTCAACATTATATTCTACATGACTGCAGTGCTTCCTAGCTTTTCTTCTCATTTCAAGCTATCCATCTCCATCTAATTATCCTACCAATTATATGTATATAAATTCGCAAATCTCAAGTGACATAATACTATCTATCTAATCGAATGTTTAACATATCTGTTATTCATAGATGGGTCAAAGATAAATATTTAATCAATCCTTAACTCAGGTTGTTTTATCTATTTAAATATCTCTTCTTATTTTTATCTTTACCCAATAAAAATTTCGCTAATGCCAGGCAAGTAAGTACACTAGTGAAGCTGGATTGGAGTTGGCATTTTAAACACTTCTGGATGTTCTTCATTCCCACAAAGTAATATTTTCTGTCCCTTTTTTAAAGTACATGGCTCTCTCATTCCACTGAAAGTTGTTTTTGTATTTTTTGGCGGAGAAGTCTGCAGTGAATAATTTGATACTATAAGAAAATCAATGGCACACACACAGTGAGACCCAGACTCAAAATTGTGGAGGCACAGGGAATGGTGAAACAAGAGTAAACACACACTGTCCAAAAGGTAGGGGCTACTTAGCTAGGATAACTGATGTCATATGTTGCCAGAGTTTGCCTGATGTTTTCTCATGATTACATTGAGGCTTTGCACTTTGACAAGAATGCCACAGAAATGACGTGCTGTTTTCAGTGCATCCTGTCAGGGAGTTCGTGATGTCTGCATGTCTTCTCAGTTCTGACTTTGACCACCTGGTTAAGGTGGTGTCCTCCATGTTTCCCCATTGTGAAGTTTCTATTTTTCTCTTTGTAATTCTTACACAGCTCATGGAGAAATACTTCGAAATGCTGCAAAATTCTATTTCACATCATAACTGTACACATATAATTTTAGCATCTATTGATGATATTTTGCCTACTATTGTTACTGGGGTGTTTGTTAAAAGGTGACTTTCTATTTCAATTCTCCCTTCCACGTTTTTTTATTGGAATTCTACCATAAGAAATGCTTATACCTTCTCCTCCACTTATTTCTTCAATTATTTATCAGCTCAAAGATATTTATCTTATTCTATGGGTTTTACTCCATCATTACCATTGATATGGTTTGGCTCTGTGTCCCTACCCAAATCTCATGTTGAATTGTAATCCCTAATGTTGGGGGGAGGGACCTGGTGGGAGGTGACTCGATCACGGGGGCAGTTTCCTCCATGCTGTTCTCATGATATCGAGTGAATTCTCACCAGATCTGATGGTTTAAAAGTGTGTGGCACTTCCTCCCTCACTCTCTCTCTCTCCAGCCAGGACATGAAGAAGATGCTTGATTCCCCTTCTGCCATGGTTGTAAGTTTCCTGAGGCCTTCTAGTCATGCTTCCTGTTAAGCCTGTGGAACTGTAAGTTAATTAAACCTCTTTTCTTCCTAAGTTACCCAGTCTCAGGTAATTGTTTATAACAGTGTGAGAATGGACTAATACAACCATTATTTATTTTTTGCTGAAATTGTCCCAGCTTTGGTCATTAAATGTTCCTTTAAGTTGGCTCCTATGTGATTTTGACATTTTGCCATCAATGTTTGGGCACTCCCTTACTTTCTGGCACTGCAAAAATGATCCAGGCTCATATTATACTTTCCCTGTCCCAGGCCTGAAATAAACCATTTCTCCAGGAGCCTTGATTACTTTTATTGGGGAAATTGTATTGAGAAACCAATACGTGGCCAAATGTATTCATTGCTACTTTGTCATTATACCTTTGTTACTGCTTCCAGGCCCTCTCAGCAGACAGATTAGGAAATATACACACACACCTATCTCCATACATTTTTATTTCTAGATATCTGTATATATATTAATAAAAATCATTAGATCATACTGACACCTGTTTAGCACCACAGGGTTCATTCTAGACTGCCTACTTTCTATATTTGTAACTATCTCCAACAATGAGAATCATGACTGTCATTGTCTATAATATATTTACTAATTTGCTTGTTCCTGGTATATCATTAAGTAGTTTCAGAATCAATAATCATGGCCTGGAGTACATACATTTATGTATAGTTCTTTTTATCTGGAGTTTTATAGTATACGCATACCTCATTTCATTGCACTTTGTTTGATTGCGCTTCCAAGGGTTTCTGTTTTCTGTTTTTGTTTTCAAATCGAAGGTTTATGGCAACACTACCTTGATCAAGTCTATCAGCACCATTTTTCAAACAGCATATGCTCACTTCATGTCTCTGTCACCTTTTGGTAATTTCTGCAACATTTCAAGCTTCTTCATTATTATTATACCTGTGTGATGATCTGTGATTAGTGATCTTTGACATTACTATTGTAATTGTTTTGAGGGAGGCCCCATGAACTGTGCTCACAGGAGACTGAGAAATTAATCAGTGAATGTTGTGTGTGTTCTGACTGCTCCACCGACCAGCTGTTATCCATCTCTCTCCTTCTCCTCAGGCCTCCCTATTACCTGAGACACAACATTACCGAAATTAGGCCCATCAATAACCCTACAATGGACTCTAAGTATTCAAGTGAAAGGAAGAGTCACATGTCTTTCACTTTAAATCAAAAGCTAGAAATGATTAAACTTAGTGACAATGGCATGTCAAAAGGAGAGACAGGCTGAAAGCTAGGCCTCTTGCTCCAAACAGGTAGCCAAGTTATGAATGCAAAGGAAAAGATCTAGAAGGGCATTTAAAACACTACTGCAGTGAACACATGAATAAGAAAGCCACCCAGCCTCACTGCTGATATAGAGAAAGTGGGTGGTCTGGATAGAAGATCAAACTAGCCACAACGTTCCCTTAAACCAAAGCCTAATCCAGAACAAAGTCCCTAACTCTCTTCAATTCTATGAACAGAGATGAGGGAGCTGCAGAAGAAAAGTTGGAAGCTAGCAGAGATTGGTTCCTGAGGTTTAAGGAAAGAAGCCATCTCTATGACATGAAAGAGCAAGGAGCTGCCACAAGTTATTCAGAAAACCCAGCAAGATAATTGATGACGGTTGCTACACTAAACAACAGATTTTCAATGTAGATGAAACAGCCTTCTATTGGAAGAAGATGCCATCGAGAACTTTCATAGCTAAAGAGGAGAAGTCAATGCGTGGCTTCAAAGCTTCAAAGAACAAGCTGACTCTCATGTTAGGGGCTAATGCAGCTGGTGACCTTAAGTTGATGCCAATGCTCATTTACCATTTTGAAAATCCTAGGGCCCTTAAGAACTATGCTAAATCTACTCTGCCTGTGCCCTATAAATGAAGCCAAAAAGCCTGGATGACAGCATATCTATTTATAGCATGGTTTGCTAAATATTTAGTAGGCCCAATGTTGTGACTTATGGCTCAGAAGAAAAATAATCCTTTTAAAATATTACTGCTTATTGGCAATGCATCTAGTCACCGGAGAGTTCTGATGAAGATGTACAAGGAGATAAGTATTGTTTTCAGTCCTGTTAACACAACATCCATTCTGCAGCCCATCGATCAAGGAGTAATTTCTACTTTCAAGGCTTATAATTTAAGAATACATTCTGTAAGGCTATAGCTGCTATATGTAGTTCCTCTGATAGATCTGGACAAAGCAAATTGCAAACCTTCTGGAAAGGAGTCATCATTCTAGATGCCATAAAGAACATTTCTTGGCTGGGTGCAGTGTCTCATGCTTGTATCCTCAGCAACTTGGGAGTCCAAAGGGGGAAGATCACTTGAAACCAGGAGTTCAAGACCAGCCTGGGCAACATAGTGAGACCACATCTCTACCAAAAAAAAGAAAAAAAATAGCCGGGCATGGCGACACAAACTTGTAGTCCTAGCTACTCATTAGGCTGAGGCGAGAGGGTGCATGAGTTCAGGAGTTGGAGGTTACGGTATGTTTGTGCTACTGCACTCCAGCCTAGGCAACAGAGTAATACCATGTCTCTAAAACAACAACAACAACAAAAAATCCATGATTTATGAGAGGAGGTCAAAATTTCAACATTAACATGGGTTTGGAAGAAGTTGATTTTAACCCTTATGGATGACTTGAGGGTTTGAGGGGTTCAAGACTTCAGTGGAGGAAGTAACTGTAGATGTGGTGAAAATACCAAGAGAACTACAATTAGAAGTGGAGCCTGATGATAATGACTGAATTGCTGCAATCTCATGATAAAATGTGAACAAATGAAGAGCTGTTTCTTATGAATGAGCAGAGAAAGTGGTTTCTTGAGAACGAATCTTCTCATGGTGAAGATGCTGTGAACACTGTTGAAATGTTTGATATTTACCAGTTTTTACTTAACAATTGAATCTATTATTTGTACAGTTCCTAGCCATAAAATACTCCAGTATTATATTAAATTATTTTTCTCTATTTTATTCCTTTAGACAAAAGATTTACAATAGTTCATTGACTTAGTTGATAAAGCAACAGCAGGGTCTGAGATGACTGACTCCAATTTTGAAAGATGCTCTACTGTGGGTAAAGTACTATCAAACAGCATCTCATGCTACAGATAAACCTTTTGTGAAAGGAAGAGTAAATCAATGTGGCAAACTTCATTGTTGTGTAATTTTATGAAATTGCCACAGCCACTCCAACCTTCAACAACCACCACCCTAATCAGTCAGCAGCCATCAACATCGAGGCAAGACCCTCCAACAGCAAAAAGATTATCATTCACAGAAGGCTCAGATGATTGTTAGCATTTTTTTTAGCAATAAAGTATTTTTAAAATTAAGGTACATACATTTTTAGACATGCTTTTTTATGAATAATGCTATTCACACTTAATAGACTACAGTATGGTATATATTATAACTTTTATATGCACTGGGAAATACAAAAATTTGTGTGACTTGCTTTATTGTGATATTTTCTTTATTGTGGTGGTCTGGAACCGAACCTGCAATAGCTCCAAAATAGGCCTGTATGTATAATTCAAATACCCTTTTTCATAGCTACTTCGGTTAGTGGTTTTATTTCTTATCCCCTTAGATGAGATTATTGTTATGGGTTCCTCCCACATCCTGGTTGATTTTAATTATTTATCTATTTTGGGGTGCTAAAATATTGTCATAGTTAAAGACTTTAAATTAATTAAGAAAATTGACTCAGATAAATGCCATTTCCTCTTCATCCCTTTTACCCCATTCCCATCTCCCATTCTTGCCATCTGTTATTTACCTACATTCTGTATGTTACCGATTTCATTAGTTTCTAGCTTTTGATTTCTGTATTTCTTTTGGTAGAAATGAGAAGACAACACACAAATTCTTATGTATTTCTTTCTTACATAGAACGTTGCATATTGTTGATACTCTTTTGTACTTCGCTTATGTGAACTTCACAACACATCCTATACATTTTTCCATATCAATTTCTAGAGATTTTCATTATTTATTTTTACAGCTCCATAGTATTCCGCCATGTAGATATGCCATAGTTTATTCAACCACTCCCCTATTTATGGGTATTTAGATTATTGCCTATATTTTATAATTATAAACAATGCTACAATAAATTATTGTATATATATGCATTTCAAATTGCTGGGGGCATATGTAGGACTAAAATTTTGATCTTCTGTTGCCAAGTCCAATTCTGTTTTAGATTGAATGATATAACTGAGAGTACTTTGAAAACTAAAAAAAGTTGTATACGCTGTAAATATAGCAAAATAATACTTTGTTATTTGCATTATTTTCTTTATCTAATTTGTGTCTTCTTTGGAAACAGGCAGTTCAATTCAATAAACATGTGTCCTTAGCTACTAAACCAGACAGTTATTTTGAAAACGTCTCCTATCTTTTTAAATTCTAATATTATCAATCACATATTTCCTCACTAAGAATGTCTTTTTAAACTTTTTTTAATGTTTTGTAGAGACAAGCTCTCACTGTGTTGCCAGGCTGGTCTCAAGCTCCTGGCCTCAAGTAATCCTCCCATGTCGGCCTCCCAAAATGCTGGGATTACAGGAATGAGCCACCACACCCAGACAAGAATGTTTGATATTTGCTAGTTTTTACTTAACAATTGAATCTAATATTTGCACAGTTCCTAGTCAAACAATACTCTAGTATTATATTAAATTATTTTTCTCTATTTTATTCCTTTAGATATAGGAGACAAATTAAAATTGCAGCCCTAATCTGGTTCCTTCTATTCCCTAAATATGACGTCAAATAGGGTAGGAGGAACAAAACAGGATCCTATGGTGCCAGAAGCACTCTCAGGGTTGTCTGACAATGAGTTAGCAAGGCCTGGGGACTCTCCTTCCTCCTGGCAGGAGGAGTTACATCCAAACTCAGCCTCCTTTGGAATTGGGGGCTCTCAGGGCCCTCAACGTATCCACCTCCTGCAGCGCTCATATTCAAAATGTGCAAAGGATGCTATACAGCCTATCTGGGGTCTATTCTTGGTCCTGCCTCTATCCTGGGTTCAAGAAATCCCTCATGTGGCCTATCCTCGTTCATCAAGAGATTGCATTGGGATTTGGAATCCGGGAACTTAAGAGTATTTGCCTTATCTTATCCTTCGTCATGCCCTACAAAATGTGTTTAATCCACCATGAGACTACTGCCAGATCTGACCAGGCCTCAAAAGATCACTTCTTAGGAATCTCTGAAGTTTTGGAGAGATATTAGTCCTGGGTCCTGCAATGTGAGCAGATTCAACTGAGCAAATGTATATAGCAAAAAGAATTTCAGGTCTACCAAAAGGTAAGTTCTGACATGGCTTCAAATATATGCCTCACTTATGTAACCAATTATGTCAGTAATTACATATGATATAGAGTCTAATTTGTCAGCAGTTTGATAGGGACTTTGCTGTCTGGGTTGAGAATAAGTCAGAGTTTTGGAACTTGCATCAAAACGTCTTCCACCATGGTCACAGGAGTCAAGTAATGTGTCAAACTGTGTCTTTGAATTCAAGCTTCTAAAAATTATATTCTAGTTAATTTTTTATAACTCAGGCAATCACGTGGAAAACAAAGTTTGTCATAAACACATAAAAAAGCTTCTAGGTGATATTGCTCTTATGCTCTTACCTCCTCGATCTCGAGCAGCTAAACTTTGACCCCTTCTTAATGTAATGTCCAGCTGGTACATTCCGGGATCAGCCAAGGGGACTTCTGCATTACTGGTTCCAGCAGTGTTTATTATTTTCTGGAAAACACGAAATATAAAAAATATTAAATTTATTATCTCTGTTCTATTTTCTCTAAAGGGGGACCATATATAGCTTAACCCAAATTATAAGAATTAGTCAATAAAATAAATAATCTTCTGATTTCATACAGTCTCATAATCACTCAGTTCTCTGAAGGTTTTGAAATTTATGAAATTCTTTAGACTCAAAAACATGGCAGTTACAGAAATGTCCTGTTTTAATTCAGATTATGGATAACAAATGGAATATAAAAACATTTCCCATGGAAGTCTCCACACAATTCAACTAAGAAATATGAACATAGAAATACTGTCTGAAGTGAAAACATAATCAATGATGAGTGGAGAATAAGAGTGCAAGAGCAGTTGAGTTCTACCTAACTGGAAATTAAAATTAAAATGATTGATTCAGGTGACTGCTGACTCATTTATCTGTGCAGAACAGCTCATACCTATGAATTAAGCACTTCTGCTTCAGCCCCAACATAAAATTTAATTATATAGAAATAAATTCACCTAGCATTTTGGCAATATTTGCAAGAAATATATTCTCGATGGGGCTAAATTTCTAGTGCTGTTTTCTATGGAATAAAAGTACATCAGCTATTCCTAGATCTAAAAATGTTTGTGAGCCTGCCTCTATAGAATTTATTTTTAGCAACAATATACTCTTAATAATTTACTAGGCATCGAATTACAAGAGGAATAATGATATTAAAACAACACAAATGAAACATGTAGTAAAAATTCTTGAGGTCATATTTTGTAGTCTCTGCCACTCTATACAATAGGAAAGCTTTTCTTTGTGTGTTTGGGATTAATTTAAATTCTTATAATTTTTTTTTCTGATTCAAAAGGAAATGTCCTTTTGTCTCAGAATATGCATGGATGAGGTAAAATAACAGACAACAGTCTTTTAATTCCATAATTCACATAAAATGAAACAATAAAGCAGCATTTAAACAATCTTTACGGTATATAATTCACATACCCTACATTTGTTCGTTAAAGCAGCATTTTTTTTTTTTGAGGTTTTAAGACCAAGGCAAATAGCTTTGCTGTTGGAGCAATTATTAGTTAAAACAAGAGGCAGCACAGCTTTGATTGACAACCTGAACTCACTGTCTCTCCTCTGGTAACAATAAAAAAGAATTCACTCCACCTTCTCATGATATCCTTGTTTCTATAAATGATTCCTCAGTCACTCAGCCTAGAAATCGCTGAGCCATCTTTGACTTCTTCATTTGATTCCCACCCACATCCAAATAGTTGTCAAATCCCCCCACTCCATCTCTGTATGACATCTCCCAATTGTCTTTTTCTTTCAATTCCTATTACCACTCATTTGGATCAGGCCTTCAAACAACAAAGGAGTAAAAAGTAAAGTGATTGTCTTGCTCTTCCCTTACCCATCTGATTGTGGCCACCAATGACAACAATTTGGGAAATATTTTTCACACTTTTAAAAGTCTTATGCAAACATAAACACATACATATAGGTTTGGTTTTTTGTGGTTGGGCTTTCAGTTTTCACTAGTTTTAAACAAAGATAGTATTCTATTTTGTCTATTATCAACAATTTCTAGAAAAACATCATGGGCACTTTTCTAGTCAATACATACAGATCTTTCTCTTTCAAATGTTCTAACTTTATTGAGCCATAATTGACAAAATTGTATGATTTTATGATATACAACATGATGATTCAATATACATACGTTTTGTACATTGATTACCACAATCAAGTTAGTTAACACATCTTTCACCTCACTTGTTTACCCTTTTGTTTTGTTTTGTGGTGAGGACATTGAAGCGAATTTCAAGTATACAATTCAGTACTGTTAACCATAGTCACCACGCTGTGTATTGGATCCCCTGAACTTACTCATCTTACAGCTGAAAGTCTGTACTCTTTGGCCAACATCTCCTCTTTTCCTTCCACGCCCCCACCCCTAGTAACCACTTTTTTTTCTGAGACACAATATTTTTTCCCAGTGTAGGAATAGCATAATTTCTTCCATTATTTTCCTATTGATGGACATTTGTGTTAGTTTCTTTGTTTGCCACAGAGGACTGGTGCTTTCATTTCTCTTGAAAAAGTTTACAGAATGAATTTTTCCAAAAGGTTTTCCAAAAGGTTTACATAATTCACGCTTCTATCAAAAGTGTACAAGAGTGCCTATTTTCCACACCTTAGTCAGTCTAGGATGTTACTAATTGTTCTAATTTTTTTCAAGTTTAGGGCACAAAACATGTTATCTTCCTTCAGCACATATTTCCAGAACTATGGGTGAGGAGTCTTGAAACCAGTGTAAAGGACAAGAGCGTGACAGCTGTTCACTAAGCCATACAGAAGATTCCAACTTGGAAAGAAAGGAAGCCAATCAAGATTTTCTAAACAACTTTTCAAAGAACAGTGTATACGTGGGTCTAATTAATAAGCAAGATTTAAATTCAGACCCAGCAAACTTTGTTGAGGTCCAATTGTGTTTCAAGCTTTTCATTAGGTTCTTTTATACACATTGTTTCCAAATAAACAAATCTATTCATAAATATTAAGCTTATATAGGTTTTCTACTTCGTAAAAAATGGAATAAAATCTGCAGGAAAAGGAGAATTTTCTACATGCCCTGCATCTTCCTCTACTGTTTTGACAGGTATTCTAAAGCCAGAAAAATTTGAAGGCTCAGACAGCTGTATATTCTGTAGTCTTCATTGCTATGTTCAGTGCTTCTTGAAGTTTAGCATGCATAGAATTTGTAGAGTATCAGGTTTTATATTTTCAAATATGTATTATACTTTATGTGCAGGTTAAGGAATTTCCAAAGATAATTTTAACTACACTAGATTTTTCACTTCTGCAGTTTCAGAATTTAACATTTAGTTAAGACATAACTTCTCCGGACTTATATTTATTTGCTGTAGTCATTTCCTCTTCTACAAACTTCTAATTTATATCCTTTGTTCTCTTTTCTGCTGTGTTGTTAGTCTTTTTTAAAATGGCATATAGAACAGTTTCTCTACCAAATCTATTGCAAATATTTCCTCCCAGTGTCATCTTGTTTCTTTGATCTTTGTAGATGGTATATGTGGTCATATAGAAACTATTAAGCAGTTAAAGCTGTCCTTTTTTCCCCTCTAATGACTTCTGTATTTCTTATCTTGCCTGATAATGTTTTCCATATCATGGCAATATGTATTGATTCTCATATATTTTAAAATTCCTTTTATAATTTTTAAGTTTTATGTATCTTCTAATCATGTGAAATATATTTTAAGTGTACTGCGTGAAATAGGAACCTATGTGTTTTCTTAGTTCTCACCTGGAATTGTAACACTGCCCATTAAATAAGCCCTTTTTCCCTTTATAATACATTAAGTTCCCATATACAGTTGGATCTGTTTCTGAAGTCCCCATGATCTGCTTACTTCTGTGTCAATACTATACCATGTGATTACAATGACTTTAAATTCTAATATTTGTTAGAATATGTAGCTCCCTTCTTTCTTGTTTTTCAAAAGCTTCTTGATTATTATCGCATTTGTATTCTTCCTGATGAAGCCAAAATAGCTTGCTGGTTTAGCTGAGCCAGACCATCTAGGTTCGAATCCTGCCACTTACTAATTGTGTGAGCTTGAGAAATTACATAACTGATTTTTGCTTCCATTTTCTTACCTGTAAAGTGGGACTAAACTAATACTACTACCTCCTTGTCAGGTTGTGAGCATTAACGCATATAAGATGTTAAAATATTGCCTGGCTGGTTTGTTATTTACTACTGGGTGAAAAAATAAAAAATAAAAACAAATAGTGCTTGGCACATAGTAAGCACTCAATAAATGTTAGCTATTGTCAGTTTCCAAAAATGAAACAAAAAGTACAAAATTTTGATTTGAACTGCATTGAGTTTCTAGATTAACAGGAATAATTTATAATTTCATGATATTAAGTATTTTCCTTTAAGGAAAATAGAACTTTCCATCATTTCAGGTTCTGTTGTATGCCCTTCAATACAATCTTATTTTTCTTCTTTCGTCTCTATCTAGCTTAATTTATTCTTGGGTATTTTATGGGTTTTGTTTCTATTGTAAAAGGAATAATTCTTTTCCATTTCCATTCTGATAAGGTTATTTCTAGTATAATGGACAAATATTATTTTGTATACTGACTTTATATTCTGTCACTTTTCAAGTCATATTTTGGGTTGTCTGTGTATAGAAATCATATTGTCTGTATATAATGCCTTTTTGACTCTTATTTTCTAATACTTCAATTATTTATTTTTAAATCTTATTGTGTTATCTTCTAAAGACTGTGAAAAATGGTGAAAACAGTGAACATTTCTGAATTAGATTTGATTATAATGTGCATGCCTTTTAGTATTTCACAATTTAACATGATGTTTATGAAGCTTAGGCTTTTTCTTCTCTTAATTTACTTGTGCTTTAAAAAAAGCACTGCTGAATTTTATCAATAGATTTTCAGCATATGTTAATAAGATCATACAGAATTTTTGGTTGATAGATTTTTGTAACATTGAATCATCTTCATATTTCCAGAGTAGACTCTACTTGGCACTGTGAATTTGTTCACTCTAATGTACAATCATGATTATGTTCAAAACCATCTATCATATGTCAGCATACTTGAGTATACCCGTACTTCTTAGGAAGGCACTCATAGCTCCCATGATATATTAGGTTGGTGCAAAAGCAATTGTGGTTTCTACCATTACTTTCAATGCAATTACTTTTGCACCAACCTAACTGAAGCCTATCATTATAAACTGAGCCTTCACTTCTCTTCCACAAATTCTGGATCATTTTTCCTTAACAGAATAGAACTTACACTTTAAAAACTTGTATCTTCGTCCTTCACTCTTGACCAGGGCTGCCTTCCCTTCTTGTTTCCCGTGTCTTTCTACCCAGTCTTCAAGGACCATTTCACTAGCACTTTATATCTTTATTTTCCATTACCACATTCTATCTCAAATGTCATATTTGTCATTTTAAATTATGAACCTTTAAAATCATGGAATAGAGTATTTAAGCTTCAAATTGAAAATGAATTATGCTAGAGGCTACAAGGATAGAAAGATATCTTTACGAGCACCTGATCCAGCTGAGTAGAAACATCAATGGGAATCTAAATAAAGTTGGCGAATCCATGGGCAGTTTGTTCTCTCTCTTCTCCTACACTCATGTAATGCATCCAATCTGCTTTGGCACCCTGTTTGAGGAACCCAGGTATACCCTTAGAATCCTTCTCAATACAGTGCTCTAGGCAGCCATTACCAACTGATAAAAATTAGCACTTAAAATGAAACCCTGTCCATTCAGGAGCTATAATAAAAGACTGACTGTAATATACTGAAGGTATGAAGTCATTGGGAGAGAAGGACAGTGGATCAATTATGATGGGAGAAGACTCTCAGGAGGCCTCATAAAGATAACCATGGAGCAGGGTCTGAAAATATGTGCAGGACTTTGACAAGTGAAGATTTGGAAGGAGGGAGCATCAGAAAAAATCAACATGAGCCCGATGGTAAGCAATCATCAAAAAGCGCATCACTAGATTGTATGAGAAATAAGGTGGAAAGGAAGACTGATATACAGTGAGGCCCAGCTAAGGAGGTTTCACTCTGTGGGCAACATGAAACCATCACAGGCTTTTGAAGACAGAAACAATAGAACCAGGCTCCAGTGAACACACACTTACTGCCTTACATGTTTTATGCTCTGGGCCAAATGCTTAGATTTCAGCAATGAGCAAAACCCTGGCCTTTTCCCTCTGTAAGAGGGATGAGAGTAGAGAAATCCCATGGTTCTAGAAATTATTTAAAAGGATTTACAACTGTTCAGTTTAAGTCACAAGAGCTTGATCTGACCAGTGGTAACAAAAACAAAAGATGGATTTGAGAGTTTGAAGAGATTCTATCAACTGAATTTGCCAACTGACAAGATGTGGGAAACAGTGGGTGAGTCACACAGAAGTTTGAGCTGCGCTCCTGGGAGGATGGTGACACCCACGGTAGACAGCAGAAATGAGAGGAGAAGCAACTCCAGGCCACCACTCTGTCAGCTCCAGGGATCGCCCAACTCCATAAAAGAACATCAAGAACTTTAGTGGATCTAGAGAGACATCTCCTTTCAGGCCCACTATAGTGGTTCCAAGAAGAAAATCAGCAGGCTGATTATGGAGGGATGCTAGAAATAAATGTGTATTTCTTTATTGTAAAGTATCTTTAAAAAAGTGTTCATGAAGCTTCCAAACATAAAGATATCTTAGGAAATATGTATCTGAAGTGCTAGGCTCACATATATTAAAAGCTCTAAAACAAACTTGGTTCACCTCTGAAATTTTAAATATCCTGAATGATATATCTAAGTTGTCTGCTCTTGTGGTCTGCTTTTTGTAACCAAGAAAATGGCACTTTCACAGAATTTAGCAGTTATAAGAAGTTAATGATCTGTGCAGTTATTTTTAGTGCCTTCGTCTATTTTGGACACTAGTTCCTTGTTGGATGTATGACTTGCAAATATTTTGTCCTAATCTACGGATGGTCTTTTCCCTGTTAATTGTTTTCTTTGTTGTGCAGAAGCTTTTCAATTTGATGCAATCCCATTTGTCTATTTTTGCTTTTGTTGCCTCTGCTTTTGGGGTCTTATCAAAGAAATCACTTCCAAGACCAATGTCACAGAGCTTTCCTTGATTTTTTTCTTCTGGTAGTTTTACAATTTCAGGTCTTATGCTTAAGTCTTTAATCCATTTTGAGTTGATTTTTGTATAAAGAGTGAGATAAGAGTCTAAAAACGATATGGCATATCAATAAATGTGGCTCACCATATTCAAAGAATCAAGGCCAAAAACCACCTTATAATCTCAATGGATATATGAAAAGCATTTGACAAAATTCAACATTCTTTTGTGATAAAAGCTCTCAACAAATTAGTTATATAAGGACTGTTTCTCAACACAGTAAACACCATATATGACAAGTCCATAGCTAACATCATGCTCAACACTGAAAATTTGAAGGCTTTTCCTCTAAGATCAGAAACAAGACAAGGATACCCACTTTCAACACCCCTATTCAACGTAGTACTAGAAGTCCTAGCCAAGGCAATTAGGCAAGAGAAAGAAATGAAAGGCATTCAAATACACACACACACACACACACACACACACACCCCTAAATGCCATCCCAAACTGTTAGAATTGATAATGGAATTCATTAAAGTTGCAGGAGACAAAATCAACTTACAAAAACCAGTGGTATTTCCATATGCCAACAACAAACTATCTGAAAAAGAAATTAAGAAAACAATCCTATTTACAATATCATAAAAAATACTTAGGAGTAGGTTAATCAAGAAGGTGAAAGATCTGTGTATTAAAAACTATAGAACATTGATGGGAGATATTGAAGATGACACACAAGAAAGGAAGGATTGTACATATTCATGGATTAGGAGAATTAGTATTGTTAAAATGTCCATACTAATCAATGGGATCTACAGATTCAATGCAATCTCTATCATAATTTCAATGACGTTATTCACAGAAATAGAATAAATAATCTAAAATTTGTATGAAGTCATAGACAACCCTGAATGACCAAAGCCATCTTCAGTGAAAAGAACGAAGCTAGAGGCATCACACTATCAGATTTCAAAATCGATTACAAAGTGATAATAATCAAAACAACGAGGTACTGACATAAAAATAGACATACTAACAAATGAAATAAAACAAAGAGCCCAGAAATAAACTGATACATTTATGATCAATTGAGTTTTGATAGAGGTGTCAAGAATACACAATGGGGAAAGTACAGTCTCTTTAATAAATGGAGTTGGAAAAACTATATATCCACCTGCAGACAATGAAAAAAGCTCAAAATTGAAAATTCAGAGTTCTAGGCACAGTTTGAAAATTAAGAAGTTTCTATGGTAATACTCAAAAGTTTGGGGGCTAAAGCCAAAAATCAGATGCAAAGTACAAAGTTTTAAGTTGCAGATTATAACACAGGATAAATTCACAGCCTTATCAGGTCACTTACAGGAAAGTCAGAAAAAATCATGGAAGAGTAGTTAATAACAAGAGCATTCACATCTTCTATCTCAGCAAGCCACCATTTTTGCAGAAGGCCTTCTTGTCTTGCTTGAACTGGAGTCATTACCATACATGGTGATGCCAAATTTCCTTATGCTCAACTCCTCCTTCCCTCATTTTAGATAGACTAGTGGCTCTGGCTGGACTTCAGGAATCTGAGGGTAGGACCCAGCCTGATAATCAATTTTTCTTTTCCCAACAGCCCCTCAAGTAATTTCAATATGCAGACTAGCTTGATCCTTGTGCCAGTTATAGAAGCAAGTCTTTGTGAAAACTATGCACAAAGATTCTCCAGACTTTTCTTATAGATATCATGAAACACCTGAGTAATATGTGTGGGAATCAACAGAAGGGTCCCAGTGACTTTAGGCTCTGCTGCTTGGGAGGTCTTTTTATATAAATAAAGAGAGCTTCCACCAGAAGATATAAAGGTGCTGGTAAAATCGAAGTCGGGAATGCCTCCTGACCTTTTTGAAATTTTCATTACAGGAAAAAATAAAGGGTTTACTCTGTTAGCTGGCATGATTGATTCTTTTAATTTTTAATTTTAATTTTTAATTTTTGTGGGTACATAGTATATATGTATTTATGGGTTTCATGAGATATTTTGATACAGACATGCAATGCATTATAATTTCATCAGGTTAAATGGGATACTCATCACCTCAAGCATTTACCCTTTGCGTTACATACAATCCAATTATATACCTTTAGTACTTTAAAATGTACAATTAAATTATTTTTTACTACAGTCACCCTGTTGTGCTGGCAAATTCTAGATCTTATTCATTCTTTCTAACTACTTTTTGTACCCATTAACCCTCCGCTCTTCCCCTCAACCCCCAACTACCCTTCCCACTCTCTGGTAACCATCCTTCTACTCTCTATCTCCATTGTTTTAATTTTTAGCTCCCACAAGTAAGTGAGACCATGCAAAGTTTGTCTTTCTGTGCCCGGCTTATTTCGCTTAACAAAATGATCTCCAATTCCCTCCATTTTGTTGCAAATCACAGAATCTCATTCTTATTATCAATTAAAAAGCAGGAGGTTTATTGTAGCACTGTACAGTGGGGGAGGGGTATGCCTGGCTTCTAGGGAATTTCCTGGTGTGCTCTTAGTATTACCATGCCAAGTGGATTGTAGATTGGTTACATTATTCCATAAATGTTTCATACACTCAGGCCATGATCACTGCAGATCTAACTTTGTCTGTCAATAAAGCCCACTTAAAGTTAAAACTTCGTGACAGATATTCAATTTTCGACTTTTAAAATTTAGCAATGTTGTCAAAGATATCATTGAAGATTTCTACTTAGTCATGACCAGTTTCTACTTAGTCATCTCTTCTACTTTCTATGACACTGAAAACATGTGTACAGTCTATGACACTGAAAACCTGTACAGTGAAATATCCATTAAGTGGAAATCAAAGCTTTTTAAAACCTAATTTTCAAAAACAGAATTCAAAAGCCACAGAGATATTCAAAGTTCAATGAAGCTCAAGTATCTGTCAAGGAAACACTATGATTATCTGGAAGTCAATTGATTAAGTGACTTTAAAGACCTTACACAGAATGGGAAAAATTATGGCAAATAATGGGTGCACCCCACTACGTATGTCAGCCGTGGTGTCTAATTTACAGCCGCAATGGAAAGAAAAGCTTATGCTTGGTTCCAAGTAAATGTAAATCCCTTGCCCCTTGCTCATAGCTGATTAGACATGAGCTGGGTGTCTAAACTAAGGGCAGACAGTGAGCAGGCTGGCTGGTGCCAGGTTGTTATTTAGCAGAGAGCATTAGTAGGCAAAGATGATTAGAATGAATTTCAGAGAGAAGAAAAAGTTAACAGTAGCTGCTAAGCTGAAGAGTCATAATAAAGAAGCTGGAGAGGCCAGAAGGCCACGTGTAACCTCAAGTCAGGAAACAGATGCTATAATTAGCAGAAGTATGGGGTGGAAAACTACATATAGTAGAGGGTGGAGTGTGACATTGTAACAGGGCATACAGACACAGACCAAGCAACCAAAGCACAGTAATGACAATATTGGACAGGAGAGTGAAGATCTATGAGCTCCCACTGCTGAAAGCCTGAAGTACGTCTGGGAGCTGAGGGTCCACTGCTCCGTACTCTTGAATGTCTGTGTGGTTCCTGCTGACCTTCTTACCTCTTCTGGCCTTCTTTGAGACAGCTTCAATGAGTCCTTGGCCCTTACAACAGAATATAATACGAAAAGAACGAGACCGAGCAAAATAAGCCAAGGATCAAGAGAGCAACCAGTTAACACAGGAAATCCATGAGTGTCAGAATACAGTAATATAGGGAAAGTGAGCTGCAGAGAGAGGCTGCAGACAGAAATCACTTCATGCATCCACCTTCTTCCTCCACAGTTCTGTGTGATGCTCATGCACAGCACCCCTGAGGGACTAGCTCACCACTCAAAGGCCAAATAAGGTCAATGCTCTGCAGCTACTAAGTAAGGAAAAACTTCATGTTTTTTAAAATGAATATTTCAACAAGAATTGGGAGAAAATCTATGGTTAGGATGGCCATGTAACTGATCATTCAAAATAGGATACTTTGGAGAGTGAAAGGGAGTGCTATTAATAATGATACGGTAGAAACAGGTAGAAACAAAACTGTCCCAGGTAAACTAGAATGCATGGTTATAATGGTAAGTTAGCCTTCAGATTACCAGAAAGCAGAAAAGGCCAATCCTCTGGTCATAACAAAGCTTTACTATACTTTGTTTTTGAACTGAACTACAACCCTAGGTTTAATTCTGGGGTTTTGGTTTCCTGGTGGTCCAAACTAAACAAAATGGGCCAATAAATACTCAGACCCAATAAATGGCAACATTTATTGCTGTTTAAAAAAGTATGAAATTCAGTGCTCCCAGAATGTCTTTTCTGGGACTCCCACAACACTGATTACTCACCCGTGGATTGTCTGCTAAATTGACTGCTCTGTGTGGCATTGCTTCATTATCACTAATAACCTTTCCGCCTACACATACAGTATATAAAATAACCTGAGCCAAAGCAAATAAAATTCTCTTTTCTTAAGCCTTATGTAGATGGACCACTC
This sequence comes from Homo sapiens, assembly GCF_000001405.40. Lineage (NCBI taxonomy): Eukaryota > Metazoa > Chordata > Mammalia > Primates > Hominidae > Homo > Homo sapiens. The sequence continues at coordinate 95,028,688 of NC_000005.10, forward strand.
TCTTTTTAAATTAGACCATGTAAACAGACTTTGTGTTGCAAGATACAAATTTTGTTGAAGAAAGCACAGGTGAGATAGCAATTATTTAACTTCAGCCAAAAATACTATCCTGTCTGATATTTGTTTTCTAATCTTTAAAATAGGTAATAGATATCTCATAAACACTGTTCTGATTATGAGATAAAATATGTAGGCCGGGCACGGTGGCTCACGCCTGTAATCCCAGCACTTTGGGAGACCAAGGCGGGCGATCGTGAGGTCAGGAGTTCGAGACCAGCCTGACCAACATGGTGAAACCCAGTCTCTACTAAAAATACAAAAATTAGCCAGGTGTGGTGGTGCGTGCCTGTAATCCCAGGTATACGGGAGACTGAGGCAGGAGAATTTTGATCCCGGAGGCCGAGGTTGTAGGGAGCAGAGATCAGGCCACTGCACTACAGCCTGGGTGACAGAGCGAGACTCCATCTCAAAAAAAAAAAAAAATGTAAAAGTGTTTGTAACTGTAAGAAATTGTTCAAATATAAGTGGTTATTTAGATGCAGGTGATGAGGAGATCTATTATAAGATAGAGGAAATATTACAGGAGTCAGAGCACAAAGACATGGACACAAAGCCTAGTTATGGTATTAAATTGCTGTGAGGCATAGGGAAAGATTTTGAGCTCTAGAAGCCTCATTTTCTATTTCTTTAAAAAAAGTCCTTGTGAATTTTCTTTCCTTTTCTCAAGATAGCTGACCAGAGACATTGGATGCTAGTTCTCCTCAGAAAGATTAAAGTGACTGTGAATAGACAAGTTCTAAATGGGAAAGTGAGGGAAGAGAGCCAGGACCTCTTGGAGAATCCATGGGAAGAAGCTGGGGCACAAACAAGGAAAGCAGCAAGAATCCGGCATAGATTGACTCCCAAAGAACTCAGACCCCATGGAAAGACTTGGTGAGAGCACTTCTCTCTCCTCTCACCTCTCTGACAATCTCCGGACAGCCAGACTGTTGGGGAACCCCTCTGACCTTGTGACTCAGGGCAATGCTATCTGTGGTGATTTGGGAACTTCCTGGAGACAGAGAACTTGGTGGCCGGTTTGCACGAGTATGGTTGCACTCCCCTCAGGTTTGAAATTAGGTATCAGGTGCCATACTGATTGTACACTTGTGGTGCCACTGCCTTGCATGTGGTTTCTCTGCCCTTGAGTTACTCCACCACCAAATCCCCCACAAATATACACCACAACCTGCTCTGACATTGGCAAGCACAGCTTACACAAAGAGCAGGGTCCAACTCCCACTCCCTACACAGAACGGCAGCGTTCTAGCAAGGGAGGACAGATAAGTTGCAGAGTTGCCTGATCTGGCCGGGGAAGAGGTTCTCGCCTGAGCCCATTTTGGTGGTAGCCCTCAGAGGGGTATATCCATGGCCTGTACCTGCACTGCAGTGGGGAACCAAAGGACAAAGTCTTTGTGAACCGGAAGTCATGAACCCTGCAACAGGGAAGTGATAGAGAAGCAGATCACATACCTGTTGGCTCAAGATGAGGAGCTGATGCATGCTCCACCACTTTCCCCCAAGACTTCAGTGTACCACAACACAATCTCTTCCTGCCAATACCCCTTCAGGGTGGGTGTTTCCACTCAACATCAGCCTACCTAAGATCAAGTCAGCTCCTATTCTTAACTGCTATATACTGGACTGAAGCCTGAGCTGCACCACCCAACACAAAACCTGCTACCAGAGGGCTTAGTGCTAGTCCATGAGATAAGCTTCCTGAAACTCCACACTCTCAGCCCCACAGGAGGTCATATGTTGGCTCATGCATCCAATACACCAGTACAACAAGCAGCATCTGAGAAAGCCACAGCATAGAAGCTATATACAACCCAAGAGACACATCCAGAGCCTTAGCCCTCTGCAAGTATCCAGAAAATAAGTCAACTGATTATATGCAACATGCACCACAGTCATACCCTCAAGGGAAAAATGATATTTTTAAAAAAGTCTCATAGAAATGATGGCGAATTCAAAAATAAGAAGCAGATGAGAAGGAATCAGCACAAAAAACTCCAGCAGTACAAAAAGCCACAATGTCTTGATACTTTTAAAGGACTACTCTCACTCTCTAGCAATGGATCCTAACCAAATTAAATAGTTTGAAAAAACAGATAAAGAACTCAAAATATAGGTTGCAAGGAAACTCAGTGATATCCAATAGAAAGCAGATATCCAACACAAAGAAGCCAGAAAAACAATTCAGGATATGAAAGACAAGATAGCTACATTAAAAAAAAAATAGAACTCCAGAATAGAAAAGTTCACTAAAAACATGCTTTAACAATAGACTAACCAAGCAAAAGAATGAATTTCAGAGTTTGAAGATCAGTCTTTCAAATTATCTGAGTCAGACAAAAATTTAAAAAAAATTAAAAAATGAACAAAGCTTTCAAGAAATATGAGATTATGTAAAGCAAACAAATCTATGATTTAATGGCAGTCTGAGAGAAAAAAAAAGTAGGAACTCAGAAAACTTATTTCAGGGACTAGTTCAAGAAAATTTTCCTAATCTTGCTAGTGAGGTCAACATCCAGATACAGGAAACTCAGAGAACACCTGCAAAACACTATACAAGATAACCACCCCCAAGACATAGAGTCGTCTGATTTTCCAAGGTCAACATGAAAGAAAAAAAAATCTTAAAGGAAGATAGACAAAACAGCCAAATTACCTATAAAGGAAATCCCATCAAACTAACAGTGGACTTCTCAGCAGAAACCTTACAAGCCAGAAGAGATTGGAGGCATGCTTTTAGCTTTCTTTAAGAGAAAAATGCCAGCCAAGAATTTCACGTCCTCCTAAAAAAATTAAGTTTCATAAACAAAGGAGAAATAAAGTCTTTTCCAGATGAGCAAACACTAAGGGAATTCATCACCACAAGACTGGTCCTACAAGAAATGGTCAAGGAGTTCTAACCATGGAAAGAAAGAATGTTATATGCTATCATAAAAACACAGTTAAGTACAAGGCTCGGCTAACAATACTATGACGGGAACAAAATCTCATATATTAACATTAACCTTGAACATAAACAGCCTAAATGCTCCACTAAAAAGACATAGAGTGGCAAACGGGACAACAGCAACAAAGATCCAATTTTTTGTTGCCTTCAAGAGCACATCTCATGTGGAATGACATCCGCAGGCTCAAAGTAAAGGGAAAATGAAGGATCTAGCACACAAATGGAAAACAATAAAGAACTGTGGTTGCTATTCTTGTATCAGATAAAACAGAGTTTAAATCAACAACAGTAAAAAGGACAAATAAGGGCATTATGTAATGATAAAAGATTCCTCCAACAAGAAGACTTACCTATCCTGAATATATATGCACTCAATGTTGGAGCACCCAGACTTACAAAACAAATACTGCTAGACCTAAGAAAAGAGATAACCAGCCATACAATAATAGTAGGGGGCTTCAACACTCTACTGACAGCACTAGATAGATCATTGAGGCAGACAACTAACAAAGAAACTCTGGACTTAAATTGGACTTTTGACCAAATGGACCTACCAGACATCTACAGAATAATCCACCCAACAACCACAGGATATACATTCTCATCTGTGCATGGAACATTTTCTAAAATTGACCACATGCTTCGTCATAAAGCAAGTCCCAATAAATTCAAAATAACTGAAATCATATAAAGCATCTTCTGGGACCACAGTGGAATTAAATTAGAAATAAATATCAAGAGGAACTCTCAAAACCATACAAGTACACGGAAACTAAAAAGTCTTGTTTCCGAAGAACTTTGGGTAAACAACAAAGTTAAGATGGAAATAAAAAAAATTTTTGACACAAATAAAAATAGAGAGAAAACATACCCGAACCTCTGGAATACAGCAAAAGCAGTGGTAAGAGGAAAGTTTGTAGTAATAAATGCCTACATCAGAAAGATACAAAGGTCCCCAATTAACAACCTAACATGACACCCAAAACAAGCAAAACAAGAACAAACCAAACCTAAAGTTAGCAGAAGAAAAGAAATAACAAAGGTTAGAGCAGAACTAAATGAAATTTAGAGCAAAAAAATTATGCAAAGGATCAACAAAATGAACAGTTGTTTCTTCAAAAGGATAAACAGAATTGATAGACCAGCAGCTAGATTAACCAAGAAAAAAAGAGAGAAGGTTCAAATAAGCACAATATCAAATGACCAGGGTGACATTACAACTGAAACTACAAAAGATCAAAAGGAATACAAAAGTTCCTCAGAGACTATTATGAACATCTCCATGCACACAAATTAGAAAATGCAGAGGAAACAGATAATTTCCTGGAAACACGCAACCTTCCAAGACTGAACCAGGAAGATATTGAAATCCCTTACAAAACAATGAGTAATGAAATATAATCAGTAATAAAAAATCTACCAACCAAATAAAAGCCCTCAATTCTACCAGATGCTCAAAGAAGAGCTGATACCAGTTTTACTAAAACTATTCCATAAAATTGAGTAGGAGGTATTTCTATCTAATTCATTCTATAAAACCAGTGTCATCCTGATACCAAAATCTGACAGGGACACAACAACAACAATAAAAACTACAGGTCAATAGCCCTAATGAACATAGACACAAAAACTGTCAACAAAATACTAGCAAGCCAAATCCAGCAGCACCACAAAAGGTAATTCATCACAATCCATTTGGGTTTTATTTCTGGGATGCAAAGATGATTTCCACATACACGAATCAATAAGTGTGATGCACCACATAAACAGAATAAGAACAAAAACCATATGATTATCTCAGTAGAAGCAGAAAAAGCACGTCATAAAATCCAACATTTTTTCATGATAAAAACTCTCAACAAACCAGGCATTGAGGAAACATATCTCAAAATAACAAAACAAATTTATGACAAACCCATAGCTAACATCACACTGAATGGGCACAGTTAGAAGCATTTCCCCTACAAACTGGAACAAGACAGATGTCCACTCTTACCACTTCTATTCAACATAGGAGTCCTAGCCAGAGCAATCAGGCAACAGAAAGAAACAAAAAGTATCCAAGTAGGAAAAAAAGGAAGCCAAATTATCTCTATTCACTGACAACGTGATCCAATAGCTAGAAAGCCCTAAAGATTCTGGCAAAAGGTTCCTAGACCTGATAAATGAATTCAGTGAAGTTTCAGGATAGAAGATCAATGTACACAAGTCAGTAGCATTTCTATACACCAATAATGTTCAAGCTGGGAACAAAAGTAAGAACTCAATCCCATTTACAATAGCCACACACAAAAAATCAAAATACCTAGGAATACATTTAACCAAAGAGGTAAAAGATCTCTACAAGGAGAATTACAAAACACTGTTGAAAGAAGTCACAGATGACATAAATGAATGGAAAAACATTCCATGCTCATGACTTGGAAGAATCAATATCATTAAAATGACCATACTGCCCAAAGCAATCTATAGATTCATCACAATTCCTATCAAATTACCAATGTCATTTTTCATGGAATTAGAAAAAAAAATTCTAAAATGTATATGGAACCAAAAAAGAGCCTGAATATCCAAAGCAATCCTAAGCAAAAAGAACAAAGCTGGAAGTATCACATTACATGACTTCCAACTATACTACAAGGCTATAATAACCAAAGCAGCACGGCACTGCTACAAAAATAAACACATAGATCAATGGAACAGAATAGAGAACCCAGAAATAAAGCCACACACCCACAACCAACTGATCTTCAAAAAATTCAACAAAAATAAGCAATGGGGAAAGAACACTCTATTTGATAAATAGTGCTGGGAAAACTGGCTAGCCACATACAGAAGAATGAAACTGGACCCTTATCTCTCATCATATATAAAAATTTATTCAAGATGGATTAAAGACTTAAATGGAAAACCTCAAACTAGAAAAATCCTAGAAGAAACCCTAGGAAAAACTGTTCTGGATATTGACTTATGCAAATAATTTAAGGTGAAGACTTCAAAAGCAAATGCAACAAAAACAAAAATAGACAAATGGGACTTAAGCTAAAGAGCTTCTGTACGGCAAAAGAAACAGTCAACAGAGTAGACAGACAACCTATGGAATGGGAGAAAATATTTGCAATTTATGCATCCAACAAAAGACTAATATCCAGAATCTATAAGGAACTTTAAAAAATCAACAAGAAAAATATAAATAACTCCATTAAAAAGTGGGCAAAAGACATGAACAGATACTTCTCAAAGGAAGATATACAAGTGACCAATAACCATTTGAAAAATGCTCAACATCACTAATCATCAAAGAAATGCAAATTAAAATCACAATAAGATGCCATCTCACACCAGTCAGAATGACTATTATTAAAAGGTCAAAAAATAACAGATGTTGGCAAAGACGTGGAGAAAAGGGAACACTCATACACTGTTGGTGGGAATATAAATTAGTACAATCTCTACGGAAAATAGCATGGAAATTTCTCAAAGAACTAAAAATAAAGCTTCCATTTGACCTAACAATCTTACTACTGGCCATCTACCCGAAGGAAAAATAAATTATATATTTAAAAAAACCTGCATTTATATGTTTATCACAGCACTGTTTACAATAGCAAAGGCATGGAATCAACCTAAGTGTCCATCAGCAGTGAATTGGATAAGGAAAATGTGTACATATATTACATGGAATACTGTGCAGCCATAAAAAGAATGAAACCATGTTCTTTGCAGCAACACGGATGCAGCTAGAGGCAATTATCTTAAGTGAACTAATGAAGAAACAGAAAACCACATACCACATGTTCTCACTTATAAGTGGGAGCAATATAATAGCTACACATGGTCATATAGGTGGGAACAACAGACAACAGGAACTCCAAAAATATGTAGGAAGAAAGAGGAGTGAGGGCTGAAAAACTACTTATTGGGTACTATGTTCACTATTTGGGTGATAGGTTCACTAGAAGCCCAAACACCAGTATTATACAATACAATCATGTAACAAACCTGCATATGTACCTCTTGAATGTGTAATTAAAAAATATATATATACTTGTGAAAATTTAAAGAAATAATGTAATTGAAAGTGTTTATAAAAGAGTTGAGTGATTTACAAAGTAGGTTCTTCCTGCTTTTTTCAAATCATATATTATGCATATAGTACTGCTAATGTTCATTAATGGTTAATCAGACATTAGAAAGAAGATAACAGATTATGCTTGGGTTAACTTGTAGGCTTTTAGTACTCTTGTATTACTTAATGACTGTTATCTTTCCTATTTCACCAAAATAGTATTTATTGGACCTGAGAACAAGACAGATTTTATTTGTATTAACTCATCTGACCTTTTGTCTTTTTGTGAGTTCCCAAACATACTGTTTCTCCCCAAAGAAATTCAAATGTCATGAAAAAGTGCATAGCTACCAGTGAGTAAAACAACTCTCAGAGGGATAGTCTTGTCAGAAATAGGCATACTGCACTAACTTGTTAGTTGCTGTTACCTTCCTTGCCATAAATGCTTCTGTTAACAAATGTTTCAATAGATCAAGACCAGTCGTATTTCCAAAATTTGGGCAACATATATGGGAAAACATTTTATTTAATACTTGAATTTTTGAGATTATAACAATTTCAAAGAGGGAAGCTCGTGTAGCAGATGCTTTGCTTGATGCTAAACATTTGGGATTTTGCTGAAGAATCCTTCTACTGCTTCTATGGATTTACGTCTACAAAACAGGCAACCACAGATCCTCAACAGCTCTTATGAAACCGAAACAAAGAAGCCTCTGTATTAGACTTAAGCACATAGCTCTACTTCTCTTGGAATAACTCTATAGTGTTCCCCTTTTTCCCCGCGGATTACAAATTGCTTTGTATCTGAGTTTCCTCGTCAGAACCCTAATCTTTATTTCAAAGGTAACTTCAGGAAAACCCAAAGAACCAAAGGAATATTTTAGTGTTTCTATCACATATCAACTTTTTAAATGTCATATCAATCCTACCCATAAAATTAATTAGGTATCTTTAAAAAGAATGTGAAAAATATCTAGATAGAATGAATGTACTACTTCTTTTATTCCAACACTTGATTTTCTTTGGAGAAAACCATGGGGATTATAGTTTTTCTGAATAGGAAATTAGCAAATCTTAGAAATCAATTTCCAACCTCGCACACTCCTTCCCATATTCAAGGTTACCCTACCCTTATCCAGAATTTCATTCTTTCACTCACTCACTCACTCATTTTTTAATCCCATATTGGATACCCAGCACAAATTAATATTACAGAAAACACAGAAAGATGTTTGGATACATTCTTTGCCTTCAAAGACTATCATAGAGACAGTTTTGCATGTGACATTTAAATGCCAACATGGAAAAACATGACAACAGGAGTTTCATGGCAGTAAATCAGAAGTCCTCCACCTCCTTCAACCTGCCTCTTCTTTTTGTTCTGAATTTGGGTTTGAAGCATCTTTTGGAATGATCATACACCTAGACTAGAAAACCCAACAATTACACCTGGACCCCCAGGGCGTAGCCATCAAGTCCTGTCAATTATATTCTGGAAATATTTCTTTAACTGTTCACTGAGTCATTTAAAATGGTTCTTATGGAGTATTTCGAATGATGTGGGCAAATGCTTAGGAAAAAGCAACGAGGTGAAAAGTAGGATGCAAAACTGCATACATAATATTAACCAGGTTAAATCTACCTATGCATTGCCAAAAAGACAGGAAGGAAATATAACAACATGTTAACGTGAGCTATTATATAACAAGGAAATTAAGGGCAATTTTATTTTCTTCCTACTTTTTAGAAGTTTTCCAATTTTCTGTAGATGTGTAGTATATATTGGTCTAATAATGTAGAGACTTAAAAATAAAAAATAACATGGCCAGGTGCAGTGGCTAACGTCTGTAATCCCAGCACTTTGAGAGGCCAAGGCAGGTGGATCACTTGATGTCAGGAGTTTGAGATCGGCCTGGCAAACACAGTGAAACCCCATCTCTACTAACAATACAGAAAATTAGCTGGGCACAGTGGCAGGCACCTATAATCCCAGCTACTCGGGAGGCTGAGGCTGAGGGAGAATCGCGTGAACCCATGAGGCGGAGGTTGCAGTGAGCAGAGTTCACGCCATTGCACTTTTGGGCAACAAGAGTGAAACTCTGTCTCAAAAAAACAAAAACAAAAACAAAACAACAACAACCACCACCACCTACTTATTCTCTGCTGTTTCTATCCTTTGATGACTGTGTTAAAGATACTATGGAATAGAGTTTCAGAAACTTGCTTTGATTCTACAAATACCATCATATGGGGCATAGCATGTCAATGTGCCATTCTCATTTACATATGAGTTTAAAACAAAACTCACGTGTATTTTATCCTTTCAAACATTCGAACAATCTCATGGTCACAGGTGCACAGCTGTGGATGGAGTAGGATCTCATACACTCAGTTGTGCGAATAGCAAGTTATTCCTTCCAGGTATAACTAAAACATGAACATGGAATTAATCATGGAGCCTGGCACAAAGTATCCTTCAGTGAATATTGTGATTTATTTTCATTGTTTACCATTTTTGTAAATTCTGGTTGGAGAAGTTATTAAAAAGTTTTCAAGAAACAAAATAAATAGCATAGTATTGGATTACAACCCAAAGAATAAAATATATATCCATGATAATATACCAATATAAATAAATAATTTGAATGCATAAATAAGTAAACAGGGGATAACAGACAAATCTATAGTGCAGAAGAATTCAGAATAATTGGTGTAGATGCTCCTCCTCAAGGAGAGAGAGCACCACTCCCCATCCTCAAGTGTGGGCTGTGTGTAATGATTTCCTTCAACAGAGTTCAGTGGATGGAGAGGGAAAGAGTAACCAGAGAAACCTGACAAACTACATCATGGAAGGCATATTAGTGATAAATGAGCCTAACTCTCTTCACCATCCCTTTTCCCTCCCCCATTTCACAGATGAAAAAACTGAAGGTGATGTATTTAAGGGACACATTTATGCAGTGTTTACGTTTAACCAAAATAATTCTTTAGTACTGCTGATAAAACCTTTTTAATTCCAGGTAGCTCTGAGAAAGATGTGGTCACCAGTGACCACACATTAGGCTATAAGTCATGAGGCTTGAGATTTTCTTCCAACACCTTCGTAAAACTAACTTTACTGCCTCAAGCAAATAACTTACCCTCTTCGACCCTCAATTCCTCATCTGTAGTAAAGGAGGCTGATCTATAATACTTCCACATTTCCTTCTTGCTTTCAAAAGAAAAGAAAGCAGGTTCTGGTAGTTTTTTTTTTTCTCTTCAAATCCATCACTCAGTAGCTTGGGTTCTCACCCTTAAAAATGGGGATAAAAATAGCACATACCTAACAGAATTTTTGTGAAGATTAAACAGAATAATACATGTGAAACACTTAGTATCCTATGGTAAAAATAAAATATTTAGACCTTGCCTTTGTACTTTCAAAATGATAGTCTAATTATAGATAAGAACCTAAATTTGATTGTTCAAAAAACAGATTAGTATCTAATTGAGACTTTAAGACACGTTCATAAAGGAAGTGCTTTAAAGGAGAAAAGTTCTGGACAGTTGTTGGAAGTGGTTTTCAGGGATAAATATTGACATTTCTTCATTTTTGCAGCTCTTTAGAACTCTTCATCCATTAACTGAAATGCTCTCACCTGAGTGCAAGTGTGTGCGAAAAGTGTGTCATTAATTATTCATACTTACAGTGGGGGAAGGGGGTTGTGGGCTGAGGCATAAATAATAATGATTAAAGAAGGCCAACAAATCAAAAATACATTTGTAACTCCTTTTGAAATATGCTTTTATGCTTGTTTGTGAGATTTAAAATTCTAAAATATCTGTACCACAGGATGAGAATTTTATTTACTCAGTAAACAAGTCTGTGATAGAGAAAGGTGTCTCACAAGGGTTTTCCATACATAAATAAAATCTATTGAATTAATAAATGTGAAAGCAGGATCTGCTATAGATAAAATGTAAGTCCCAGAAATTATCAAAAGTTGACGTAGGAGCTAAGCAAATACAATGCAAAAAAATGCTTAGCTTATTCAGTTAACTGATATTGTTTAAGTATTCCAAAGACATTGCTAGAACAAAGTGAACAGGAGTTTATGAGTCTTCTCAGTACCGTTTGCAAAAAAAAAAAAAAAAAAAAAAAAGAAAGATCTAAACTGCCAAAACTTGAGGACTATCACACGAGTAGATAACACTAGGTGTCACTGCTAATTTTTTAAAACTTCCTCATAACAGCATTAAACTGCTACTATAAGATTGTCAAATGTTTCTTAGTAACCAGTATTCACTCTGGGAGCTTCATCTAATTAATTACAGAAAAATATACAATTCATCTTGGCATGTGAGGTCCCCCCTGCCTGCTGAAATTGTTCTGCTTCTAACAAATTTTAAAGAAGGCTGGGCATGATGGCTCATGCCTGTAATCCTGGCACTTTGGAAGGCCGTGGCAGGCAGATCACCTGAGGTCAGGAGTTTGAGACAAGCCTGGCCAACATGGTGAAACCCTGTCTCTACTAAATATACAAAAAAATTAGCCAGGCATGGTGGTTCACACTTGTAATTCCAGCTACTTGGGAGACTGAGACACCAGAATCGCTTGAACCTGAGAGGCGGAAGGTTGCAGCAAGCTGAGATGGTGCTACTGCACTCCAGCCTTGGCGACATAGTATGTATGACTCTGTCTCAAAAAAAAAAAAAAAGAAAGAAATTTTAAAGAAGATTTTTTGGGCTAAGTGCTCCCTGAGCCCATCCAAGGGCACAGATTAACTTCCGGATAACTGCCTGGGAAGTAAACAGCCCTCTTGACAGTGCCTGGATAAAATGAACAAGGTGGTAACACACCTTCCTATCCATGTGTTTCTACCTTTCCATGTCCAAACAGACCCCAGTTTCCTCTTCATAACTGATGTGGTTGTGAGGAAGCTGACTTGCCCCCTAGCTCGAGGGGTGGAAAACAGCACAAAGATCAAGCCAATCTAACCCCCTGGCCACAGTGACTGATTCAGGGTTGGGTATGTGACCTAAGCTCTTTCAATCAGGGTAAATCTTGGGACTTGGTTGAGAATGCTGGAACACAAGGGCTCAATCTTTCCTCCTGGGTGAGAATGAGAAAACATGTAGGTAGGTAGCTGTGGGAGTTGGCAGCCATCTTGGGTTTAAGAATGGGGTAATTTAGAAGGCTAATAATAGTGGAGGCTGGGTGGAGAGACAGAAGTACACTAGATTCTTGTGACTTTTGGTTGAGCTATTGAGTTAGCCTCTGGATTTTCTGGTTATAGGATCCAATAGATTCCCTTTATAATTTAAGTCAGTTCGAGTTTTTTTTTGTTACTTGCAACCCAAAGCAACCCAATTATGAAATAGCTAACACTGATGGAACACAAATTTTGTCTGAATTGTTTCACACAACAAACCTAAGAAATAATTATGCTTATCATACTACTTTTACAGATGTGGAAACTGAAGATTAGAGAGGTTGTATAACTTCCTTCAGCTGGGAAACAGTGAAATGAGATTCAAACTATTCTGTCTAATGCCAAAAGCCCATGCTCTGAAAAAAAAAAAAAAAAAAAAGAAAAAACAAAAAGAAAGTAAATTAGGTACCTGAAACTATATGGTAATTTTAACTTGTCAGCCCTAATTATATAATTTCACTTAGCTATAAGTTCATATCAAAAAGAAAGGGTTGATTGTAGTTAAGGAAAAAGTACTTTAAACGTTTAATATCAAAAGTTTTTAAACACACATCGATCTAGAACCTTTCTCATGAGAAAGATACATTTCCCTGTGTTGTATTACTTACTTCAAGTAATTTGGAGGGCATTTTTTGGCTTCTAATCAAATGTCTTTGGTGTAATCAACTAAAACTAATTAGCTGGATAGTATTTTAGGATACAGGCCTTGTTCAACATATATAAAACTCTGGGGTTTATAATTAGTAAATAGAATATAGTCATACATACTGCCTTTATATCAGTTAATGTAATATGGAAATAATATATAGCTTTCTCCATCCCAGAAGTTGTAGGAAAAATATTCCCCAAGGAAGTAGCATATTTTAATTGTAAAAATGTTTTGTTATTCCAAAGATTAACATACACTTCTTCATTTTACAGGAGAATATTATTCATTTCTTTTATTGAAGCTTGTTTCCAACTCCGCATCCTTCAACTGAATCTGCCCCGTTTCTCAGTGTGAGTTGAAAAGACAGAACTCTGCCTGTGAGCTCAGCATCTCACTTTCTACAGAAATTCAAGTTCAAAGTGCAAAAGTCTGAAGACTTTGGATCTTGTTTTCTCAAACTTACTGCTTCATCACTGAAATGTTAGACCAGCTGCTTTTGCTGGTTCAGTGTAGTCGTTTGAAAAGTCCCCAGTTATGTATAATTGGCATATTCACACACATTTTAATAGCCAGTGGCCTGTTTTTCCAATGCCGGTAAGGAAGTATTTATTTATACAACCAAAGCAAATAGTATTAGGCATATTTACCGGGCAAATGAATGTATTAGGTTACAGTGAAGTGAGTGTCAAGTACACACTTTAAAGAGGGTGCAAACACTTGGCAATTTAAACTGCTCTATATGAAACCATCAGGACTGAGCAATAAACATGCTACCAGAAAACAGCGGAAGATGCAGAAAGTTATTGTCTTTTTGTCATGGTTTATGGATAGTGATAAGCAAGCAAAACAACGGCGTTAACAAACCAATAGCCTGATACATCATCTTCTTAAAAACCAGTGCTTACACATATAGTTGGGAATGTCATGTGCAGAATTCCCAGTAATGTTTATATCAGGGTGTCATTTCTTTGAAATACATGCATTGGCTGCATACTCTAAACAATATACAAAAGTAAAGTGAAAAGTAAGATTTTCAGTCTTGCATTCAAATGCCAGTGCTTGTCTCCAAAGGTAACCACCATTAACAGGCACATACCCTTTTACAGAATGTACAGCTATAGGAATGAACATACGGTATACACTGTCAATCACCTTGCCTTTCTCATTTAGTAACACCTTGGTGATCTTCTGATGTCAATACATTCAGCTCTACCTCAAACTGTCTAAAAGACACTTAGTATTCTATTGAATGTATATATCTACCATAATTTATTTAATCTGATTTTCATTACATTTAGATTTCTAGTCCCCCCACCCCTTTTATACTATTATAAACAATGTGGCAAGGAATTTTGTCTTATGTAGATCTTGGTGTACATTTCTGTATCTAATGAGTAAATTCTAATCACTAAATTTGCTAGGCCAAAGGATTCTATGTTTTCAATTTTGAGAGATCTTGTCAAATCACCAATCTTCCAAAAATATCCCACCAGCTTACATTCCTACGGACAGTGAGTGAGTTTCCCATACAGCTGCCAAGAACATATTATCAGATATTTATAATAAGTCAGTCTTCCACAGAGGGTCACATTTAACAATGCATAGTTCAAAATCTAAACAAGAAATTTTATTATTTGCATTTCTAAAACATTTTAGAATTTAGTCCAATTTATAATCTGGTATTAACACTTCTCAAAATTGCCTTTCTCTCCCTCCAAAACTCCTTTTGCACTGATCCTCTCATATGTTAACCCTTACTAAGCAGTACTTCCCACTAAGACCAGGGCTGTCCTCTAGCTCAGCCAGCAAGGTTTCCTCTTTCTTGAAGCCCATGTGACTTCCTCCCTAACCCCACCCTGACTCCCAATCCCCTGATTATATCATTCTGCTTAGCCTTTTTTCCTTCTCTTTTCTGCTGCAGTTGTAGAGAAGAGGGAGAAATGGAGCATGAAAATATTGCAAATCCAGGGTGAGGAGTCATGAAAACTCACACCTTTAACATTGTTGATTTGCTTTCCATATAAATTTTAAAACATTTGCCATTCTGATGGAATAAAACAGATGCCTTAATTACTAGTGAGACTGTCTTTCCTGTCTATTTGCCATTAATCTGTATTTCCCGTGAACTGCCTGGGCATATTCTCAACTCATTTTTATTTTATGTTAAGCAATTTTTAAGTGGTTAGTACGTGCCCTTTGTAAATTAATGGGATTAGTAAAGGCTGCATTCTAAAGGGCTTGGCCTACGGGGATGGAGCAGGAACCAGAGAGTATAGCTTTGGAGTGCTTCTGACAGGCATTCTCTCCATTTCCAGCTCTGCCTGCTAAGCACTGTATGCTCACACACCAGCTTTTCATGGAATGTCTTTTTGCAGGAGCAAATTAGCTAGATTTTTTTCTGTGCAATAAAATTTAGTGTTCTCAAAAAAAGAAGAATGTGGTGTAGGAGTATGGACTTCCTATCCTTCTCTGCACATGGGTGAGATGGTTCTGGGCCCTACAGGGAAAACAACCCATCCAAGTACTTTGTTGTCCTTGTTGAGGGTGTATGTCATGGAATGAAGTTCTAGGAGGACCTCCTCAGAAGTTAAGTCCACAGAAAGGGACTCTAGAGAGAGGAGAATGGAAGAAGCAATGGAACGAATTTCTTTTCACCTATAAAATCCAGCTGGCATTCTGCCATGTGCTGCCACAGGAAAAAAGCAGGACAAGTGTCCTGGCTTTTTCTCTCTTTCTGGCAGGCAGCAGAGGAAGAGCAGTTCTGCTCAACAGAACAGAGGGCACTGACTTTTTTCTCTAAATGTTGCCCATTTCCCACGATGTGATCTTCAGTCCTTTTGCTCATTTATCTTCACACTTAGCCCCTGTAGATCAATTGAGTAGATCAATTTCCAGAGCTTTAGGTAGCACCTGTTCTCTAGGTCTGGGATGCTTCTCTCTGCTTACTTGACCTTTCTACTTGGATGTCTCAGAGGCAACTTAAATTCAACATGTCCAGATCTAATCTCTTCTTTTGCCCCCACATCTGTTTCCACTTTGACCTCCCTCTGTCCTTTAACCCAGGCAAAGCATTCCCCAGCCATTCAGTTGCTCAGCACCATCTTCCTCTTCCTTTCCCCCTCAACCTTCTCATGAGACCCATCAGAAGTGTACCCTTCAACTACACTTGCAAAACGTGTCTTCACTCTGTCCTCTTTTTCCCATACCCATCCCCAGACCCCCTAGTCCGAGCCCCCGTCATCCCTAACGTGAATCAGGGCAGCAGACTTCTAAGTGATGATCCTCCTTTTGCTCTTATTCCTCTTAAATTCAGTCTCCCACAAGCAGCTGAAGTGATCGTCAAGCATCAAAATGACTACGTCAATCTCCTGCCTAAAACTTTTTAGTGAACTTCCATACACTGAAAACTCCCTACTGTAGCTCACAAAGCCCTACACAATCTGTATCACCAACTTCTCCAATTTCACCTCCAGCTACCTTCCCCCTCACTACACTAGCCACATCAGCCTTGTGTGAGTTTCTTGAATGTGCTAAACTCTTGTCCACTAGGAACTTTATACTTTTATCTGGAAGCTTCTTACCCAGGCTATTGGCAGGACTAGCTCCTTCTCATCCTGGAGCTCTCAGCTCATGTTACCTCCTCCAAGAAGCCTTCCCTCATGCCCATCTAAAGAGTTCTTCATTAGTTTATTCTTTACCACAGCAACCTGCTGTTTCCTTATCACAGTTTGGAAATACCATATTTATAAGTTGACTTGGTTTTAATGAATTTTATGTCTGTGTGGTACAACCTGGTAACTTCTGCTTTTAGACTAGTGCTTGGCACAAAGATAGTCAATAAACATTTGCTGACTGACTGACTTGCTGAATAAATGAATGAAGAACAGTTCCTAGAGTCGATGAAAGCTAGAGGCCTACGGCTTAGAGAGACGAAAACATAGTTTAAGAAGGGAACAAAAGCCTAGGCAATTGGTGAAGTGTCTCAGAATTTAGTGAACTTGAATCATGTCAGTCAATATAATCAGTGAAAGGGGTCTGGCGTCAGTGGTTATGTGTGAGCCAAAGGGAGTCAAAAGCTATGGTGACCTTATCATTGGATACGGAATTTGTACTTAGTATGCAAACATATACCAAACATGTGATATATGGTTACATCATAATTTCTGACATTTAAAGTTCTCAAAATAACCTCAAGATAAGAGTGCTCCTTCTGTATTTCAGAAATAGTTTACTACAGTAGATAAGAATATCACTCTGTAGCCAGACTGCTTGAGTTTGAATCCTGGCTCTGATATTTTCTTAGAAAGTGGGAAAGTGGCTGAACCTCTTCATACCTCAGCTTTCCCTTCTGTGAAATGGAGATAATAATGGGTCATGCTTCATTGGGCTCTGAGAATTTAATGAGTTCATAATTGAAAGTGCTTATAACAGTGTCAAGGACTTACTATAACACTATAGAAATGTTAGCTAAGAGTGCTATATTTCCAGAAATGCCAGGAAACTTTGCATTGTGAGCCGATGAACTCTGAGAACATGCTTCCCAGCAATCCAGTACTCCATGGATCCAACCACATGAGAGAACTCATGAAAATTTGTACAGATAGAGATGCCATAATTTCATTGCTATTATTACCTTAAAAAGAATTCATTTGAGAGGCTAATTAGCCACACATACAAGCCTTTAGAAAATACACAGAAACCTTGAACAAAGCTATGGTCAACTAAATGAATGTGAAATCTGTATCAGCTCTAACAGCTAATTTCACAATTTGACTGCCTTGCAATACCTCTAGAGATAGAGCTCTTAGAAATAAATGTTTCTATTAACTTTTATTTGGATGTTACTTCATTATGCTAATAGTCTCCCTATTGATCAACTCTATTCTTCATTTTTGTCAAGACTCAAAGAGAACTGGTAAAACATTCAAGGACTAAAAATTAAATGAATACGAGCACCAGCATAAGTACTACTTCTACCTCACCATTTTCACCTTTCAACATCAAGTTCTCAGTGTTTTACAGAATAATTAAGAGTTCGCCAGACAGAGTCACTAGGAGAAGACTTCCTAACCATTATTAGCCTAATAACCTCTCATCCTGATCCTTCCTCTCCCTGCAGTTAGTTACACGCTACTCCATACCATATCGACACCCACCTCTATACTTGTCTGACTGTATTTTAACTCTTGACCACACGTATCTGTTTACCCTATTAGACTGTGAATTCCTAGAGGCCAGGGCCATGACAGACTCATCTTTGCTGATACCCTGATGAGGCTCTATCAAATTGATTTGAAGTTCATGAAAGACTACGTTCATGTTAAATATTTGGCATCTAATGTAGTATTTCAAACAGCATTCCTATTGGAAGGTAAGCTCTTTGAAAGCAATGATTTTTAACTGTTTGGTTCACTCCTCCATGGATCTAGAACAATGTCTGACATGGTGAGCACTCTACAAATATTGAGTGAATAGAGGATATCTTATAACCTAAAGTGCTATTTACAGTTCTTGTATCATAACAGGCCTGAGGATGAATCAGAGGTTGCAACAAGCACATGAAAGTAGATGATGTCCTTGAAGACCGTTTGCTTTCCCATGTACTCTAGTCTCTACTTTGTCTACTTTGTCTACATAGAGCCTCTACCACTATGGCCTTAGTGACATCTGTTCATCCTAGTGTCTTACGTCATCCTGGTTAAGTGGACCACGGAGCACTGAGCAGGCACCATGGCACAGACTCATGCTGCTCCCTGGCTGAATGTTTCTCATGGCCAATTTATTCTTTGAAAGTCAAGTCCTGGGAAGAGATTTTTGCTCCCTAAGCCCTTAATTGGTAATACATGGTGTGTCATGACTGCCTGACCACTACTGAATTATGTCAGTGCACTAATAAAAATAATGAACTTTAGTAATATTGTTCTTTTAATAAAAACTAGTGGGTCTGTTTGACTCAATAATTTAAAACTAGTTTTAAATAATAAAGAAGATGAAAGGCCATTATTATCATGTCCTCCTAGCATATGAACATTCACAGGTAAATCCTATGAAGTTAAAAAATGGTGGCATTTTAGTAGTCTAATGCCTAGCTAAGGTATTTATTTCATTATTTCTAAGGAAAATGAATTCTGAGTACCAAACAGCCCACCTATTCATCTCTTCTTCCCCTTTCTCCCACCCTCTACCTCTATTTTCCATCCATCTACACACCCACCCACTCACCATTAGAGTTTCTATAGCGATCCTTATACTGGGCTAGGGAATAGATATTCAAACATGGATTAAGAGGTGGCTCCTACCCACTAGCTAACTCATAAATTTGGTACATACATTGTTTCATGGAATGTAATAAGGTGTTAAGTAGAAAAGTTATTAAATCAGATAATACATCCAAAGGAATCATTTGATGATTATTGCATTTAAGATATGTTAAGTACAAGGAGCTAGATATACTTGTGTTTGAATAACACAAACTGACTAACGTAACTGCTGCATAATTGCTTTTACTCTCTAACATGTTAGGCAAAGGAATATAATTTGTTGCTTTTTAAAAATTAGATTATTTAGGAGTCAGAATGTAATTTACTGATGTCTTTTTAATCTTTTTTAGCCATTAGTTGAAACTGCTACCATAAAATAAAAATGGCAAGGAAAATGCATAACATATGGCTTATATAAAATTGTTACAAGAGAAGTGTATTTTTGACTGACTTAATATTTTACCAGAACTTGCACCCCATGGAAGGAGAGAAACAGAGGATTATAATGTCAATTTGTCACTGGGATTAATTTCATAAAGAATTTATGCCCACTGTTGTCCTGCTGAGAATACAAAATAATCATGAAATGTTGTTACAGAACCTAGTTAAAATGTTACTTATCTCCCCTGAGGAAAGATGAGAAGCTACTAAAATGGATAAATCTTGTCAGAAGGTAACAGTTCACCCTTGTCCAAAACACATACTAATTTCCCACTTATTAAGCAACTAAAGGACACCAAAGAAATACTCAGGAATAAGAAGCCCAAGTACCAAACTTGCTGGTCTGTAGACTTGAAGCACATGGGTGTTCCATGGCTGTTTGCTCAATGCCTGGAAGACTCGATTCTGAGTTTCCTTGGCTGAGAAGAATATTTATTAAAACAAGTTAGAATAACTAATAGAGTTCTAGAATTTGATTCATCATCAGTCAGGGGCAGGGGATTTGGAGAGAGGAAGGAAGTGACAAAAGATCAATGCCACCATCTTCCTCCTTGTAGAAAAGAAAGGGGAAGTCAAATTTTATAGCAAAGAGCTCTTGATGCTTCAGTGCTTCAATTTACTTCCAAAGAACTCCATTCTAGCCATTGGAAAAGAGTCAAAAAGTTGTACTAATGGAAAGCTTTTGTGTATATTGAGAGATATTGGATACTAAAAGGCACTGGCAGTAAAGCTTCCCACTTTCTGGCATTATTTTGATCTCATGCTTCTACTTTATTTAATGGCGTCATCTTTAATTAAAGAAGAATTATGCTTCTGAATTCCCCAGAGTCTTACTTTCCTCACCAAACTGAAGTGTGAGGAGCCCACAGTGCTGACTCTAAACATCATCTTCTTTGTCTGCAAAACAAAAAATGCCAGCAAGGCACTTCTGGGTTTCGCACTTCCCGTTAAATTTTATAACATTTGCCTCCCAAGGAACAACACTCTCATTCAAGGAAAACAACCTCCTAGTCTGGTGCCAAAAGTCTTTGGAGAAGGCCTGAATTACCGCCCACCGTTAAGAGCAAAGTTTGTTCAAGCAGATGCCTCACATGAACAAATCAAAATTCAGAATATCATAAAGACTAAAACATTATGCTAAAATAGTTCAAATAAGTGAAGTACCACCACATGGGAAAATGAAAGAACAAAATCGCATCCTGAGGCACTGAAACTAAAACGTCTATAAACTAAAAAAGTCTAAAATGCAAAATAATCATAATGAAAGGACCTGACACCCAGGAAAGTGATCATCTGTTGCATACTTAAATAGTTTACCCTGGTAAAAAGAAATTATTCTCTCACTTAGCCCTCTATATAGTTTGACAATTTGTTAATAATTATCTAATGATCACATCCTTTACCATGATGCGCAGACATAGTATTTTCAAATTCATCAAACCAGCACTGTAGTGCTAGGACCAGGTAGAACAAAAGAACTGGAAAGAATCTACTTCCCTTATCTCACCTGAAAATGGGCAAGTTAGCTTAGCCATGGCTGCCAGTCTAAAATAGCTCCGTATCACCTGTCTTCTCTCTTAAGTCACATAGATCAAAACCCAATTAAATATGTTCTAAAAATACTCAAGATCAAAATTAACATTTGACTAACACCTTCACTGTTATCTCTTTAGGCCCTCAGGGAGATTGGTGGGCAGGTAGGACCCCAGCTGATGTGTTAGGTGACCTCTACCCCCGTTAGGCAACCACCTAGATAATGTGGCAGTCCTCACACCACCAAAGAAACATCTGGGAAACATGTCCCATAGCTTAGGGTTAACTAGGGTTAAATTCTTCTTTTACAGCTGAAGACATAAGTGACATGATATCAAGGTAGGTGCTACAGATTCAGAAAATTAAAAAAAAAAATTAAACCACAGAATATCCAGTGAAATTTGGATTTTTGAATTTCAGATAAATAAAATACAATTCCATAAATAAAACGTTTTTGTGTAAGCATTTCCTGATAATACTTGGAAAATATCTTTACTAAAAAGAATATTTGTTGTTTATTTGAAATTATAACTTAGCTGGGATTCCTGTATTTTTATCTGACAATCTGAAAAAAATCTTCCTTTCATCTTTATCTGCCTGGATGGGGCTGTGGGGATGAGAGTAGAAATGAAGCCATCGGACATCACCAGTCACATTCAGATGTTTCACACTTGCTTGTTGGGGGCACTGCTAAATTCACTTCTGGTAGCAGCAGCCTGGGTGTATAATGCAATTTTAACCCAGGTATCATAGCTTCTCATTACTCTGGCCCAAGCCATGCTTCCTTTTGACAGCACAAAGAACCAGGATCTTCCCATAAAGTTGCCAAATTCATGCCTGCTAATATTTGACCTTCTGGCCTAAGACCTTGGCAGAGATGCTTTGCTATGAGTTAAATTATATCTCACAAAAAACCAGTGTGGAAGTTCTAATTCCTAGTACTGTAGCATGTGATGTTTTTGGAAACAGTGTTGTTGTATATGTAATTAGTTAAGATGAGGTCATCCTAGGGTAGGATGGGCCCCTAATTCAACATGACTAGTATCCTAATAAGAAGGGAAAACTTGGACATGAGGACAAACATACACACAGGGAGAGTACCACGTGTAGGTTGGAGTTACACTGCCACAAGCCAAGGGACTACCAGAAGCTAGGACAGAAGCCTGGGACAGATCCTTCCTTGGTGCCTTCAGAAGGAGCATAGCCCTGCAGACACTTTGAGCTGAGACTTCCAGCTTCCAAACTGTGAGCCAATAAATTTCTGCTGTTTAAACCACTCAGTTCATGGTATGCTGTTAGGGCAGCCCTAGAAAACTGATATATACAACAAGTCAGCATTGTCTTTATTCTTAAAAGTTATTTATTTTAACTTTTATTCTTGTTATAAGAACTGGGCTCTAGGCTAATTATTTTGGCCAAAGCCTGCCTTGTACCCCAGTCTTAGCCAATTCCATCCCAGGCCCGAAGCTCTGCACCTACTCAGTATTCCATATGCCCAAAGAATGAAGTCCCATAGAACCCCCAATCATTAAGACACTACAGACTAACTCATAAATCCAGATACCCAGAGTGGGTCCCTAGTGGTCACCCAGATCTGTGACAGTGATTCTGTCTACCTGCTGAGATGATCACCTACCAGGGGAACACTCTGCTGGCATTCCTTCAATTACCAAGACTTCCTCCTTAGGTTATAGGAAGTTTGACCTCTCCAAATTTCTGTTCTTTCCGTGAAGGGTCTCTGAGCTCTTGTTCTCTGCCATCTCTTATACTTGACCAAGTGTTTTGTACTTTTAAGTAGAAATATAATAAAATATATATTTGAGATATACTATGCCACTGCACATTATTTTAAAAGTACAAATTGAAAGAATGAGAAATGATGAGATCATGTCCTTTGCAGCAACATAGATGGAGCTGGAGGCCATTATTCTAAGCAAACTAATACAGGAACAAAAAAACAAACACAACATGTTCTCACTTATAAGTGGGAGCTAAACATTGAGTACACAGGACACAAAGAAGGCAACAACAGACACCAGGACCTACTTAAGGTGGAGGGTGGAGGAAGGAAAGGATGGAAAAACTACCCATCCAGTACTATGCTTATTACTGGGGTCACAAAATAATCTGTACACCAAACCCCCGTGACACACAATTCATCTATATGATAAACCTGCCCATGTACACCTGTACCTAAAAGTTAAAAAACAAAAAAAGAATACAAAATGAGCTGCAAGAGGGTATCCTAAAAGCAAAGCAATTGCTTGTAATATTAAGATAAGTTTTATCTGAAATTTTGGGCAAGTAGGTAGTTTATTTTCTAAGTCAGTCTTAGGAAGTTTTGAAATAGGATTCACCGCTTTCTGGGTAAGTCTTAATATAGAGTTAGATTAATTCTAAACAATTTAAACAGGTATTTCTCAAAATGTGGTCCACTAAACCGTCTTCATCAGCCTGTTACCATGGCAATGTCCTGGGATCCACTTTAGAGCTAGTGAATCATTCAGACTCTTGGGGGATAAGACCCAGGAATTTGCTCAAAAAGACTTTTATGCTTATTATACTGAGAGTTGATATAATTTAAAGTGTTTTGGTGGCAATTTAACTGGAATTCCTGTATTTTATCTGGCAATCTTTATTTCCTAGGGATGTAAGGCTAAAACTCCAAGTACTCTCCTGCCACTCCCTTTCTACATTTTTACAAGTTTGATTTGTGTTTTCCAGTTTCCCAATAGCTCCTATGTTAAAATTTACAGTTGCCATCCTATAGCCTTTCAAAGAGCCCCATGCCTCTGATTGCAGCAGGGGAGTGAGGGAGCCACAGACTGAAGGACTGTGGCCCTGGTTGGTAGGAGGTGGTATCCAGGGATAAAATTAGTAATAAACAAAGGAAGCTTTCAACTTGTTTGCTTAAGGGCTCCAGGTTAAACCTATGATCCTGGGCTATAATTTTAATGTGTGTTTTCTAAACGTTTAAATTTCATTAAGCTTGTTTTAAAAAATAAGACTGGGGTAGCCGTCCAGTTAAACCTGAATTTTAGTACTAGAAGAAAATCCTGGAGCTTTTCCTCAATTCTGGCCGTTCAACATTTAAATGAAAAGAAATTAATATCTCAACAGGGAAAAGCACTTTATACCCCTTTACCTTGGAAAGTTACTACAGCAAAGTAAAATGTGGCAAAGAAATACTCTCAATACTAAAATAAGTCTGTTTGTTATTCAAAAAGCAATTAATCTATTTTTGGCACAAAATGATACACTGGTAAATGTTCCATATTTTTACATGAAAATCAAGGAAATAAAACATACTTTGGAGAAGTACAGACGGAAGCTTGAAGTGACAATTATTTCCAGATATTACCAAAAGCATATGAAGCATGAGCTCTTTTCATGGGTTTTAAATAAGCATATCTCCACCCCCACTTAAATCAGAATGACAAGCTGCTCAGTCCTATAAAATCATGCACTCCAAAGTAGACATAACTCAAGGTATCATGGGGTTTATGAATGTGCTGTTCATATGTGAATATAAAACTATGGCTAAACACAGGCCATGAGCTTCGGGATTCTTTTTTGGATAGCGGGGAGGAGTGTGAGCACTGCCACCTACAGCCTCTAATTGCTGCTACTTCAAGCTTAATACGCACAGGAATCACCTGGAGATCCAGTTAAACTACAGATTGAGATTCCACGACTATTGAGAGACCACGATTGCAGGCTATTGACAGACCGCAATTTGAGAAGCAAAGCTCCAATCTATATTATTTGTGTTAGAAAGAAAATGAGGAAAGGAGAAACCGAAGGAAACTCAAAAAGAAGGAAAGCAATGTTTTCTTTTGTTTCCTTTCCTGACCTACCAGGTACCAAGCAGTAGGTGAGGGGCTCTGACTCAAAAATTACAACACAATCCTTTAAAAGTGACGTTGTGGCCAAATGCGACCTCCACAACTCAGAAGACAGTCAAGAATTCACAAAATGTTGGAAGCTGAAAAGCAGAACCTTGAAGGGAAGATAGAAGGAATGTATTATGTAATAAGATTGAATTTAAGGCTTAAAAGGCTATTAGGCAGTGGATACAAATCATGTGTCTTCTACATCCACGATTAAATGTCCCAAACTTGCCGTATCATAAGATTAACCTTGGGCTTTTGGTAAAAAAGTATCCAGGTTCCACACTGAGCTGCTCAGTGAACCCAGGTTATTCACACAATTCTTCTTATCTATGACTTCGGAAAATACTGGGTTTTTATTCTGTTTTGCTTTTAGGGATTTCAAATGTTTAAAGCTTGAAGTGATCTTATTCTGCTCCAATATGCCCAAGGAATACAACACAATAGAATAGAAGAGAACCGTGAGGGCCCACAGCCCGAGACCTGTCCAAGATTACCCGGTTACTGTAGTAGTGGAGCCAAGACTAGCTTCATTTCTCTAGAGGTCAAATGCAATACATCGTATCTATAAAACTAAATAGAATCATTTTGAAGCAGAGAACAGGAATCAGGAAGATTACCTTCTTCAAAAATTTTAAAGAGATAAACTATGATTCAATTTAGCAATCATTAGCTATTCTGTGCAAGGCATTGTATTAGGACCTGCAGAAGACATAAAAATGGACGAATTAAAAATCTCTCCAGTTCTGAGATGTCTGAGGACTGAGTATCACCCACTTGACAAATACAATCAAGATGCTAGAACCCACAGTGGTTCCCCTTCCACCCCTTACAGAATGATTCCTGGATCAGACTCATTTTTGATGTTCCATGCTTTACAGGAGCAGAGGTCCCCCCTACAACACACACCAGTCAGTAACTATAAACTGAATCCCCACCATGTGAAAAAGACCATAATGGGTATTAATGTGAAAAAATAAAGAGAAGTTATAGACCATCAGAAAGCTGGCCATCTACTTGGGCTTAACAGACAAAAAGGGAAAAATATGAATCCACAGTGTTTTTTGTTGTTATTGTTTGTTTGTTTGTTTTTTGAAACAGTCTTGCTCTGTTGCCCAGGCTGGAGTGCAGTGGTGCAATCTCAGGATCTCAGCTCACTGCAACCTCCGCCTCCCAAGATCAAGCGATTCTCCTGCCTCAGCCTCCCGAGTAGCTGGGACCACAGGTATACGCCACCACACCTGGCTAATTTTTGTATTTTTAGTAGAAAAATACATGGTTTCGCTATGTTGGCCACGCTGGTCTCAAACTCCTGGTCTCAAGTGATCACCTGCCTCAGCGGCTATAATACACAAGCTGGAGCTATAATATTTCTTTCTTTTGGTGTATCTTAATGGGTAGTTCACTACCAATAAAGTAATCATGGTTGCTCAGATGGGTTCTTTGCTATTGGTTTGGAAAATTAAGTTTTCCAATGGAGTGTTTCCTATTTTGTGGATCTTTTTAACTGTATTTACTGGATCCTCCCTTTTTGTAGTTCCTCTTCCGAGCTAATCAAGATTATTACCAATCCTTATTTTCTATAGAATATATACAGGCATTTATTTATTCTTTACACATTCAGCTACCTAAAACATTCTTGATGACTCCAAGAATATTGAAGATTGGGAAAAATATTTAATAGTATTACTAATAATTGACATCTGTTGAATACTTACTATGTGCCAGGCACTTTTCTAAGCATTTAAAAAATATTAACTGATTTAATCTTTATAAACAGCTCTAGAAAGAGACTGAGACAAGGAGAGGTTAAGCAACATGTCCAAGCCCACGTAATTAGTAAGTTTGTGCTTCAGCTCAGACAATCCAACTAAAAGTGCATTTCACAGCTAGTAGTAGTCTATTAAGCTTTTGCATGCTCCTAAGAAGTAATGTGGTGTGATAGAAAGGGCTGTCTTTGGAGTCTAATGGATGTAGATTCAGATCTTGCCTGTGTTGCATACTAGCTATATCCCCCTGGGTACAGGCTTAATATCATTAGGCCTCAGTTTCCTCACCTGTAAAGTAGGATCAATAATATCTACTGGGCAGGGTTTTGGAGATAATTAGAAGCAATGTGTGAAAAAAAATATTAAAACAATACCTGGCTTATAAGCAATGAATAAACATTAGTTAGCTACCATGATCGTCTATAATAAAAATCAATATTTTGACTTGACTTAAGGCTAGTATGCTATACATGTACTTTTAATGCAATATAAATTATGCAAGATAAAAATAAGAAACTTCTATGTATCTGTCCACACATGCACACTATGTAATTCAGAGTACATATTTGACACCAATCAAAATATAAAAGTATTATGCAACAAAAGAGTAGAAGCAAATTATACATGACTTGGAATACTTTATAAAATTGTGAATGTAATGAGTTCTTTGTTGGCTTGAATTTCCACACATTTAATATTCTAACTAGAGGAAATTATTAGCTCTTAATACATCCACTTGAAGAGTGCTTATACTTAAAATATCATTAATACATCTTTCACAATTCTCCCATTGTAGGCATATCTTGCTAACATGAAACTTTATATAGACAGGGTGGGTAGAAATATGCTTAAGAAACAGGTGCTGGGTAATCAGATCACGGTAGTTAAGCTTTTAGTGGTTTTGAAATTATATTTCACAGGTTGCTTATCTACCTAAGATTTACAAGTATATAATCTAGGTAAAATGTATGCTATCTGAATGACATTTTAAAACATAAAACAATGGATACAATGATATTCTGACTTAAATGAATTATCAAGGATTAATTCATACTATAGATGTAATTTTCACCTTATCTTAGTATTTAGGCTATTAACTTCTTAATAGTGAGTGGGATGTGCAGAAACTGATCTTTTGCTCTCTGAGTCTCTACTAAGTGTATTTCTGCATTGTTTGTGGAATAGCGGACTCACTGAGTATTCCAGTACCATTATTGTGGTCCATATTTTGTGTCCTGCTTTGACGGTAATAATTCCTATCTTAGTGATGTTACTCTCGTCAGTTCTCTGGGGGAAGTACCACTTTCTAAATTCCCCCATAGTCTTGCTCCTGGATTTTCCTGAAAAAGAATGAACTCCTTCATCCCAATACACACACACACACAAACACACGCAAATACATACGTATTTCTAAGAATTGATCTCTCAAATAGTGAGTATGAAAAGAAAGTTAGAGAAATATGTAGTATGATTTCATTTATATAAATAAAAATACACTATGTTTTGCTTATAGATATATACATATTCATATAAGATTAAAAGGGGATTGAAAAATACCAGCTTCACAGCCATAGAGTCTTTAATTTTATCTATATTCTATTTTCAGGGGAAAAATAAGACTAGAAGCAAATATCATAAAATAGTAACATTAATTATAGAGAATGGAAACAGAGGTGTATGTTAAACTTTATGTTTTCTGTACTTTAAAAAAATCATAAAAATATTAACATAACTACCATCCAAAGTAGCAAAATTATGTCACAGAAATGACTGGATGTAAAAACCTTTAAATGGGCAGTACAAGCCATTTTGAGAAAAAAAGTTCTTTTTATTTTGAAAATTCTTATTTTTCCTGCAGTGTAATGCAGTGGGAAAATGAATCATTTGGAATCATAAAGGCCAGTAAATATAATTTTTTGTTTTTATGAATTAGTATTAGATACACTTTACTTTCCATATTAGATATAATTTACTAAAAAATTTAACATCTGATTATAGTACACACAAGCCACTTAGCAAATAAGAAAGGCATTCAGCCGAAATTCATTCATCTCAAGATTATTTTAAAATACTTAAATAGTGACTAAGATTGCCTCTTAGAAGACAATAATTCTCTTTTATTCAGCAAATAGCTTCCAAACTTCCTGATAATTTGGGACAGGAATAGTCTCCCTTTATAAGCTCACCCCCAGCTTTACCTTGGTAAATACCTTTAGATGGCATTTCGTACCCAGATTTTTCCGAGAGCAGTCAATGCAGTGACAAATGCAGCTCTCTGAGCTCTGTTTCATGTATTTCCTCTTTTCAACCTCAGTGGATCACCAATGATCCGCAAAATGTCAAACCGGAAGAATGGGGGTTAATGGTGGACATGATGAGACCTAGATAAGCATCCTCTGAACAACATTTACTCTCCGTCTCCATTTCATAGAACTTATTCCAACAACTGAAGCCTTATTTATAATAAAAGACTAACTTTATTTCCATTAATTGGGCCTATTTTAATTAAATTACAACAACAACAACAACAAAAAACCTAACCAGGCTTCTCAAGATAATCAGTGCTCTGACTGAAATCCTTTTCAACTCAGGAATTTTTACAGCCTTATTGCTATTCATATTCTAATGGGATAAAATAGCTGATGCTTCGGCTCGTTGCTCTTAGTCTATTAACACCCTTCCCAATAATTCAAATACATAAATTATTTATGATTGATTCTTGGAACAAAGCTAGAATTTAATGTGATATTACAATGTTAAAGAAGAAATACTGCAGAAGAATACATTCCTGCTTTTGTGTAAACTGTTGCATAGATGTTTAAAACATAAAACATTTAAATGGATTCACATTATTGCACTTTTGCTAATCCCATGAGTCAAAACCAGAATTATGAGGAAGAATTCTAATATGCAGGAAAAAGAGTGAAGAAATAAGTGAATTCCAGTCCTGGGTCTGTACCACACACCTTACGACCTTTGGCAACTCAATCTTTCTGGACTCTTTCTTCAATGAAACAATGCTTCTAAGCCCTCCATTGCCTACTTTCCAGAACTGTTACGGGGTTCAAATGAAACGCTGTATGGGAAATCATTTTGGAAATTGTTAAGCCTTCTACAAACTTAAACTATACCACTTCAACATAGAATTAAATGAAAAAATAAATGGAAGAGGTATGGATAAAGGTGTCCATGGAGGGAAAATTGTGAGAATTTTCTCTTCCCTTCCTGTGCCTTTCATTATTGTAGATCTTCCTGCTACACAGGACAATTTTTTCCTTTTACCTCACTGAAGGGATAATTGCAAACAGGGTTTTCAGGGGACAAAAAGAGCGATGATATGCTCTAGGGTTTGACATTCTCTTTTTAAAGATCCACAATTCCTTGACTCCAGAGCTGGGTCTACTCAACAATGCCTCCAGCTCCCATCTCAGATCCTGTGTCCAGGACCACCCTTTTCACCCAGGCCCAGGGACTTAGAAGCTCTTGCCATTCTAGTGACAAGCATATACATGCAAGAATTGAGTTAAGACTATCCTCTTAACCACCATTCAACCCAGCAATCCCATTCCTGGGTATATTCCCCAAAAGAAAACAAATCTTTCTACTATAATGATATATGCACTTGTAGGTCCATCACAGTGCTATTCACAATAGCAAAGACACAGAATCAACCTAGGTGCCTATCAATGGTGGATTGGATAAGGAAAATGTGGCATATATATATATATATACACTATAAAACAGAAAGTAATCATGTCCTTTGCAGCAACATGGATGCAGCTGGTGGCCATTATCCTAAGTGAATTAATCCAGGAACAAAAAACCAAGTATTGCATGTTGTCACTTGTAAATTGGAGCTAAACTGTGGGTACTCAGTGACATAAAGATCGTAGCAGCAATAGAAACGGGACTACTAGAGTGGGGAGAGAGGAAGGAGAGCAAAGGTTGAAAAACTAACTATTGGATATTATGCTCACTACCTAGGTAATGGGATTATTTGTACTCAAATCTCAGCATTATGCAATATACCCAAGTAATAAACCTGCACATGCACCCCTGAATCTAACATGAAAGTTGAAAAAAAAATGAAGGAAAAACAGGTCAAATACAAAAAAAAGACTATCCTCTGAAATGTACGTAGAAATCTCAGTTGAGTCAGTTTCATACCCTTAGTTATATCTTAGAAACCTTATCTTCCCAAGATCAGAAATAAGAGGAGAAGAGTAGAGAGGAGAGGAGAAGAAAAAGAAAATGTGCAGGGTGGTGACAGTGGTCATGGGATGGGTGAGGGAAGGAGAAGCATAAGTAGGATACTTTCTATCTCTAGGCAGCTTTCTTTCATCACTGAGTAAAACCCCTCACACTTTCTCAAAAGGAACTATGTTTTCTAAGGCAAGGGAAAAGGGAACTTGAGATGCTGTTCTAGTCCATAAACCCAGGATGGAGAGAAACCCAATAAGAAGCAAGAAATTAAGGTAATGGAATGGGAAAGTAGGCAGCTCAGCCCCAAGGGTCTTTGGTGGGACAGAAAAGAGACATTCAAGGAGTCATTTTGGAAATAAGTGTTTTTCGAAGGTCACAGATCCCAAGCCTGGGGCTATTCTTTGCTTATACCT
Organism: Homo sapiens; assembly: GCF_000001405.40. Taxonomy (NCBI): domain Eukaryota; kingdom Metazoa; phylum Chordata; class Mammalia; order Primates; family Hominidae; genus Homo; species Homo sapiens. The sequence continues at coordinate 95,060,111 of NC_000005.10, forward strand.
CACGTGCCCTCTAGCTCTCTGGTCTCTTTAGTATGATAGTCTCTAGAGCCATGAGCACACTCTTCTCATCTCTGAGATGAGATCTCTGCCTCTTTGGGACAGCTACTCCAGGTACCTGGAGCTAGAGGGGAACATAATCTGTGCTACAGGGGAAGTGAAGAAAGGAAGCACCTGGCTCTGTGTTAGCAGGGCTGTTCTGGCATTCTGGGTGACTAGCTTCTGTAGAGCTGTTAGAACCCGGCACACTTTTGAAAATCAGTGGGTTAAACAGGATATGGGCTTCCCTAGGAAGCTGGCCATCATTCATAAAATTATTCATGTTGGAAGATGCATCCCAACTTCTAGTAAACACCTTGCAGAGCATAATTTACTTCTAAACTTGAGAAGATGAAAAAAGTTTTTTTAAAAAAGGCCACTTTTGCAGATATACCAAAGAAAGGAGTAATATGAATCTTTTTCCTTTCTGTAATAACTAAAAAATTATCATCGTCTGTTGCTAGTTTATGAGTCTATCTAAATTGACTTTGTTCCACTCAGAATTTTAGATGACATATTAAAACAGAATTTAAAGAAGAATCTGGCCGGGCACGGTGGCTCACGCCTGTAATCCCAGCACTTTGGGAGGCTGAGGTGGGTGGATCACCTGAGGTTAGGAGTTTGAGAACAGCCTGGCCAATATGGCAAAACCCTGTCTCTACTAAAAATACAAAAATTAGCCAAGCGTGGTGGTGCACACCTGTAATCCCAGCTACTCAGGAGGCTGAGGCAGGAGAAAATCGCTTCAACCTGGAAGGCAGAGGTTGTAGTGGGCAGAGAGCATGCCACTCCACAAAAAAAAAAAAAAGAAAAGAAAAGAAAAGAAAATAATGAAGAATCTGTCCTCAAATGTACATTTTTTTTTTTTTTTTTTGCATTCTTAATTCCCAGCATGAAGCCATGAAGCCATTAGGCCTTTGTTGGTCCTTCTCAGCATCTGGCAATGCCCTGTGGTTGTGATGGGGACATGCTGGTCATGGGAGATGCATTGACATGAGTATAACCTATGACTCTATGACATCTTTCTTTTTCTCTTTTATGCCAAATACAGACAAAGAAAAGACTTAAGGAACCAAATAAACACACAGAGGGAATAACTACTAGCAAAAGAGATAAATAAGGGAAAAACATAATAATTGAAAAAGGAGTTATTAAAAATGGAGTAAGTTTCCAGAGTCATATTAGTAAAAAGATTGTCTTTATACATGTTTTTTTTTGTTTTCAATGTACTTTCATATCAATTTTCACAAACCCCTTAAGGGTTTTTTTTTTTTTTTTTTTTTTTTTTTTTTTTTTTTTTTTTTTTTGAGACGGAGTCTCGCTCTGTCTCCCAGGCTGGAGTGCAGTGGCGGGATCTCGGCTCACTGCAAGCTCCGCCTCCCGGGTTCACGCCATTCTCCTGCCTCAGCCTCCAAAGTAGCTGGGACTACAGGCGCCCGCCACTACGCCCGGCTAATTTTTTGTATTTTTAGTAGAGACGGGGTTTCACCGTGTTAGCCGGGATGGTCTCGATCTCCTGACCTCGTGATCCGCCCGCCTCGGCCTCCCAAAGTGCTGGGATTACAGGCGTGAGCCACCGCGCCCGGCCAAGGGTTGTTTTTAATAACTAATATTTATTATGTCTTTGTGGAAGGCACTGTGTTAAGTGCTTCACATTCACTGACTCATCTGAAACTCATGACAGCACCAGGATGCAGTTTTATGGTGATCACTGCTCAATACATAAGGACACTGAGTCACAGGCATATATGCCTCAGGTTAAAGAGCTACAAGTGAAGGGTTAGGGCCTGGGCTTTGATTACAGGCTGACTCTGGAGCCTGTGTACTTCTTCACTGTACTAACCCTGTTTTCTGAGGAAGAACTTGAGATTCAGAGAGGTAATGGTTCTTATCCAAGCTAGTAGTTAGCAACTTCAAACTTAAAAATGGAAAGCAAAGCAATTGGTAGAAATGAAATTTGAATTCAAGAATTATTTCCATTACTTTGATCAATGAATGGGATTTGGTCATAGTATTGATTCAACACTATTTAATTCTTTACAATAACTGAGTTTTTTTAGCCTCTGATGTCTTTATAGAATCAAAACTTTACTCAGGCAAGATTTAAGAGAATCTATGTGCATTCTTTATATTTTCTATTGAAAGATGTGTATTTTGGTAAAAAAGAATTAGATGCTGGGAAAACCCATCACATTTAATGCCTTGAAGTATTATGGCTTATTTCACCCCAAACTTTATTCTAACTCTCAACTCTTGGTGTCTGTATCTCTATTTTTTTTGGTTCAAGCAGCATGAAGTCCAGTTGAGGCTATAAGGAAAAGAGCTTTATAATTCCCTCCCTGCATTAAGCTTCAGCTTCCTTTATAGATGTGAAAATCAGACAGGCAGCACAATAAGATTAAGAGGATGGTATTTTGAACGCATTCCAGAGTCCCCTCAGCATGGGATTGGGGCAAAGGAACTGAACAGTCCCCACATATCCTTCTGGTATCTGCATTATTTAATTTCAGTGATTACAACCCTCCAAGCCAGAACAATCACCCACATTCAATAGGCACACAGAAATACATTCCAAGGTGTACTGCAAATGATGGCGATTATCCAGACAATGTTTTCTTATGATTGCTGGGTCCAGGAACTGATCTCTGTTTTATTGTTTTTTTGTTTTTTTTGTTGTTTTGTTTTTTTTGAAATAGGGTCTTGCTCTGTGGCTCAGGCTGGACTGCAGTGGCATGATCATAGCTCACTGCAGCTTCTACCTCCCTGGGCTCAAGAGATCCTCCTACCTCAGCCACCCAAGTAGCTGAGACTATAAGCATGTGCCACCTCGCCCAGCTAATTTTTTATTTTTTGTAGAGATAGGGTCTCCCTATGTTGCCCAGGCTGGTCTGGAACTCCTGTGTTCAAGCGATCCTCCCGCCTCGGCCTCCCAAAGTGCTGGGGATACAGATGTGAGCCACTGCTCTCAGGCAGAAACTGATCTTTTAAAATTAAACTTTCTCTGAATAATTTTTAAAACAAATTTCCCCAACACTGATAGAGAAATTAGCTCTCCTACAGATGAAAAAAGAAGGCATGTTTACATGGTGATCTTGTGGAATGTGACTGTGCCGGGGAAAGCCAAACCTTCCAACCTCAAACACCAGAACTCAGGGATCTTTTAATTTTAATTTCCATTTCTAGTTCCCCTTCATTGTACTATGTCTCTCTCCTGTGAAATGTTTCTATTACAGTAAACAAATCCATGGTGGTGACGTGACTATTTTCTTAAAGAACATGTAAGCTGCAGAATTCTCTCCTTCTTAGCCAAAGCCAAAATGTTACACGTTAACACAGAAGCTAATTCCAGGATTTGCCTTACTTTTTGAGATAGCTCACAAGGAAACATTTATTTAATCTGCATTTTTAAAAAGAAGATAGAAAAGGATTGTTTGATGCAGGATGTTCACTACAGCACACTCTTTATTCAGACAGGGTCTTATTCTATCATCTAGGCTGGAGGGCAGTGGTGCATTCTCGGCTCACTGCAGCTTTAACCTCCCTGGATGCGAGAGATCCTTCTGCCTCAGCCACCTCAGTAGCTGGGACTACAGGCATGCAGCACCACACCTGGCTAATTTTTGTATTTTTTTGTAGAGATGAGGTTTTGCCATGTTGCCTAGGCTGGTCATTTTTTATATTTTTTATTATAGAATATTTACCCCTAGAGTCCTCTAAAGTGTAATCCACAAAAGTTGTTACCTCAGCCCAATTATAACAAGTCAAATAACTCCACACCCATCCTATTCTCCTTATCTCCATCTTCCAGTGGGAGGCAGGGAGATAGAATTACAAGGAACACTGTGTGATGACAATGAAAGCTTACTGTGGGATCAAATTATGTAAACACCTGCTTTAGCACTAAATGCACGAATAGTTCATATCCAAACTATAATTCGTGTCTTAAAGTCTAGCTATTGGAAAATTATAGGCTCCCAAGAACTGTTTATACAAGTACATGCTTTAGGGTTGACAGACAATCCATTAGAAACGAATTGATAATCAAGCACAACTAATGGCAAAAGTTTATGTAAGAACAGCTGCAACTGACAACTACAATCTAAACCAAACTAAAAATTAAAATGGACACTAATGATACACCAATAACCACCCTCAATCCAGAAATCCGTGGAGACTCTTTCTCTGTGTGCTCATGTATACAGTAGGAGCTATGCAGTGCTGCCAGTTGTGGTGTGACAGCTGGACTTCTTGGGAGTCTACTAATTTTGCATACTCACAATCTGGTGACATGGTAACTTTATTTACAAATACCCAATTTTAGTAACCCTTAATAACTCACTTAGTAGGATACTATTAATAGTAAATATCCCATTTGTAGACATAAAAATGAAATGTCTATATAGTTACAAGTTATTTGGCTCTAAGGACAACAATAATCTAATAGTATTTTGGATGAGTTCTCAGTCCATGAGGATATTTGAGGTCCACCAGAGGTGCAGTGGACTCTACTCAGAGAAATTCTGGGGTACACTCACTGATAAAGGCCCATAGGTGTACCAGTATAACATGTAAGAATGGGATATGGATGATCCATAGAAGTTCCCTTTGATGTAGAATTGACCATTAACCAAACCAACAGACCACTTGGAAGAAAATGATATTTTACAGAGTTAATAAAGTATTCAATAATTTTCCAAACTGATTTAGATGTTGATGAAGCTGCATATAACCACTTCAAAAATGATTTGGCAGGTGCCATTTAAATAGCTGACCTATGAAGAGTTCTATTTTTTCCACCCTGATCCAACTGATCTTGTGTAACAACCCTGGACATTATATCATGTTTCTGCTAAAAATTCAATGCTTCTGCATTTTGTACAAAAAAAGATAAATTTTGCCAATTCATTTAAAATTTATATAACTGAACATACATCTGAAAATAATAACTATTAAAACTATTTCAAGAATAATTAGAAAACTTGAACACTACTAAAATTATTATTAATTAATTAATTATTAAGAACTGTTATCAGTAGTTAAAATCTTCCTACACCTAAGAAATCATTTCAAAATTATACAAATTATTATGTAGCATAAAAATTTATCATTAATTCTTTAAGGCCAATAATTGAATATCAAAATTTGACATGAAGATTGCAAGAAAAGAAAAAAAAACTGGCAAATCTCAATCACAAATATATATGTAAATATTCCAAACAAAATGTTAGCAAACTAAATCCAGAAACATATATAAATGATAAAACAGTATGACCAATATGGGTTTATTCCATGTATTAAAATATGGGTTACCGTTAGAAAATCAATTAATGTAACTCATCAATTAGTAGATTAAAGGCAAAATTTATATGATTATCTGAAAAGATATAGGGAAAACATTTGATAGAATTCAATACTCATTAATTTTAAGAAAATCTAGCAAGGCAGGGATAGACGAGAACTCTCTTAATCCGATAAAAGCAATTAACAAATATTTGTATTTTATGGTAAAGCATTAAAAGCTTTTCCTTTGAGATTGAGAAAAGAACAGGATACCTACTATCATCACTTCAATTCAATATTTTTCTAGAGGTTTTAACCACAGTATGGATAAAATACAAAATACATGTTTCAATAAATGATGCTGGGAAATTGAGTATCCACACGCAGAAGAATGAAACTAGACCCCAATTTCTCAGCATATACAAAAATCAACTGAAAATGGATTAAAGTCTTAAATGTAAGACTGGAAATTCCAAACTACTAGAAGACAACATAAGAAAAATGCTTTTTTATATCGGTGTGGGCAAGTGTTTTTTGGATAAGACCTCAAAAGCACAAGCAACAAAAGCAAAAATAAAGAAATGGGATTACATCAAACTAAAAAGCTCTGCACAACAATGCAAACATCAACAGAGTGAACAATCTACTGAACGGGAGAAAATGTTTACAAAGTATATAACTAACAAGGGATTAATATCCAGAATGTAGAAGGAACTCAAACAGCTTAGTAACAAGAAACCAAATAATCAAACTTAAAAATGACAAAGACCTGAATAGATCTTCCTGAAAAGACATAGAAATGATCAACAAGTATATGAAAAAATGCTCAACACCACTAAACATCAAGGGAATGTGAATCAAAATTACAATAAGATCATCTCACTTCAGTTAGAATGGCTATTACCAAAAAGACAAGAGATAACTAGTGTTGGCAAGGATGTGAAGAAATGAGAACCCATACACACTGTTGATGGGAATGTAAATTAGCACAGCCATTAGAGAAAACAGTACAGAGGTTCCTCAAAAAATTAAAAACAGAACTATTATATGATCCAGCAATCTCACTACTGGGTATATATCCAAAGGAAATGAAATCAGTGTGTCAAAGGGATATCTGTTTATTGCAGTACTATTTACAATCGCCAAGACATGAAATCAACCTAAGTGTCCGTCAACAGATAAACTTATAAAGAAAATTTAATATATATACATACATAATGGAATACTTTTCAGTTATAAAAAAGAATGAAATCCTGTCATTTGTGACAAGATGGACAAACCTGGAGGGCATTATATTAAGTAAAATAAGTCAGACACAGAAAAACAAATATTGCATGATCTCACTTATGTGTGGAATCTAAAAAGTTGATCCCATAGAAAGTGCAGTGGGGACCGGGGGCGGAGCGGGGATGGTTTTGAAATGAAACTGTTCCACCTCAGATCATCAGGCATTAGATGCTCGTAAATAATGTGCGATCTAGATCCCTCACATGCGCAGTTCACAATAGGGTTCGCACTTCTATGAGAATCTACGGCCGCTGTTGATCTGACAGGAGGCGGAGCTTAGGGGTAATTCTCTCTCACTGACCATTCACCTCTTGCTGTGCTGCCCCGTTCCTGAGAGACCATGGACCGGTACCAATCCAAGGCCTGGGATGGGGGACTCTTGAAGTAGAGAGGAGAATAGTGGTTACCAGATGCTGGGGAGGGGTGGGAGTGGGGGGATCGGAAGAGGCTGGTTAATGGATACAAAGTTATACACAGCTGGAATAACTTCTGGAATTCTATTGCACAGCAGGGTGAGTATAATTAACAATAATGTATCATATATTTCAAAATATCGAAAGGAGGGGATTTTGAATGTTCTCACCACAAAGAAGTGACAAATATTTGGGGTTATGCATTAGCTAATTACCCTGATTTGATCATTACACAATGCATACATGTATTGAAACCTCACATTCTATCACGTAAATGTGTGTAATGATTATGTGTCAAAAATAAAATACAACATGAAAATAAATGATTTAGAAATGAAAAAATTGGCATTATTCATAGATTGTCTCTATAGAAAATCCAAAGGGATTTACAACTAATATATTAAAAGAATAAATAGAAAAATACAATTTCTAAACAGAAATAAACTAAGATACATTTACTATTAACCTACAAAATATACTTATATTTTTAAATATTTTAAATATATATTTTGTTAGGACATACTTCAATGTTTTTAAAATTAGTTTAATTGATGAATAATAATTGTATGTATTTATGGGATACACAGTGATGTTTTGATCTACATATACACTGTGGAAAGATTCAGTCAAACTAAGCTTTCCATCACCTCACTAACCTATCTTTTTTGTGGTGAGAATATTAAAAATTTATTCCTTTGACAATTTGGAAATATACAATACATTATTATTAATGTCACTATGCAGTGCAATAGATCACTACAACTTATTCCTCCTAACTGAAAATTTGTACTTTTCATCAACATCGACCCTTTCCCCATCCCTCTGGCACCCTCCTCTCAGTCTCTGGTAACCACTTTTCCACTCTCTGTCAAACAATCTATTTCTTAAACTAAATTTGAAATATAAATCATTAAATTAACTTGATCTTTCAACAAGGTCGTTCTTTTTTGATAAAGAAAGAGAGGCAATTATTCTATTCTATTAAATTTATCATTATCCTATTTAAATCAAGTTAAAATTAATACTTTATTCAGCAAGAATAGAAAATGAACCAAGACACATTTGACTCCAAATTTCTCAAGGGCAAGATAATGTCTTGGGTAGGGTTTTCTCTAAGAAATATCCAATGAGAGAAAATAGATTTGATTCACAGAGGAGAAAGAGAGAGACAGAGAGAAGAGAGGAGACAGAGAAAGAGAGTCAGAGTTGGTGGGGTATGAAGATATGTTAATAGAAGGGTAAAATACTTAATTCCAACAGACAGTAAACATAGGAATCTGATCACAATTATTTTTAAAAAGGAAATGAAAACAAAACAAAACCAAAACCCAGGGACAGTCTAGTCTAATACGTCAACTTCCTCAGAGGCAGATGACAGATGTGAAGATACCTTGCAGCTTTATGGGTTAATTTTCTATAGTGTCTAACACTCTGGGACACTTGGGGAACAGTAAATGTTTTAAGCTGTCAAGGACCTGATTGGCCGGGATCTGTTTTCTACTTAGTTCACTTCCATTTCCTTTGCTGTTCCCAGTAGCTTTCTCCATGTCGGTTTGCATTACTATGGTTTTCACAATTCGGTCAAAAAATAAAGCTTTTATGCCTAATTAAACACCGAGCTAACACACTTTGTCAGTCATTTCCACTTTGAAACTTACGTTTACTGCATTTAGTCTGTCCTTTCCAATCTTACCATACAGGGTCTGCCAAAGAAATTATAAAAATTTTACGTAATATTGTACCTAGGGACATTATTTAATATCAATAGTAGTTTTTTATAGCTAAAAGCGAATTAGGCTTAGTTCCAGGGGAAGATTGTGAGCAGGTATCTTTTTTTTTTTTTTTTTCCTTTCCTGAGAGAAGCTGTGAAACAACAGAACAGCCTGTGCTACATACGTAATTAAAACAGATGTTCTCAATCTTAATTTTTATAGCTAATTATGACAGCCAAAGAAATGTGCTTGTCTTTTGTAGAGCCACATATTTTCTCTCAAATGTGCCCTATTTTTCTCCTCACCCACTATGACTGCTCAGAAACAAAGGGTGGGGTGATGGTGAGTTACAATGCAGCTGCAAGGACTGTCAAATTATTGGTAAGTCAGGGAGTGGAAACAGTGATGAGTGAAATTGACCATAAACTATCTACATAGCATAAACATTTGTACGTACTCCTAACTTTGCAGATGACAGTTTTCATTGGGGTCTTTCATGACAGAAGCCAAGTTTATTGTATCAAACATAATAAAGTAATTCAAACATAATAAAGTAACTGCTTACAAGCACCTTTCCTTTGTCAACCCAGCCTTTGGGAGCATAGCATTTTTTTTTTTTTTCAGAATAACATACAGTGTACAGAAATATGCTACATTTTGATGACACAGGCCAGGTGACTTACCCGCAAGGGTGCAGAATCTGATATGCTTGTCTATGTATGTGTGTGAAAATAGAAAGCATACAAGTATAACGAAGGCACCCGTTCTCAGAGCACACTCTTCTTTGAGCTCCTTGTCCTTAGGCTCACAGGGATGTCAAGTTGGGGTGCTTCAGACACAAAAACAAATGACCCTTCTGCCCTTTTTTTTTTTTTTTTGAGACAAAGTCTTGCTTTGTCGCCCAGGCTGGAGTGCAGTGGTGCAATCTCTGCTCACTGCAAGCTCTGCCTCCCGGGTTCAAGCTATTCTCCTGCCTCAGCCTCCTGAGTAGCTGGGACTACAGGCACCCACTACCACGCCCGGCTATTTTTTTTATTTTTATTTTTAGTAGAGATGGGGTTTCACCGTGTTAGCCAGGATGGTCTTGATCTCCTGACCTTGTGATCCACCCACCTCAGCCTCCCAAAGTGCTGGGATTACAAGCGAGAGCCATCGTGCCCGGCCGACCCTCCCTTTCTGTAAGTGCTGCCAGCAGCTTGGAAATTACAAACTTTAGAAACCACAATAGGGGAAGAACTATCTTCCTGTTTGTGGTGGAGTCTGGAATTTTCCCGCCCTTGTCAAGGCACTCTGTTGTGTTGTTATCTAGGTTCTCTCCTTACCCATCTATCAGCACCAGGTCCATGGAAGGCCTACTAGGCCAAAGTCCCAGGCCACATCTGCAGTCAGGCTACCCTGAGCCCAGCTTGCCTCTCACCCTCTGAGGAAGGAGCAGGAGCTGCAGTGTTGCTGCTGGCAGTGTCCCTGCTTTCTGCAGCCTCAGCACTGCTGAGTGCAACACCTTGCACTTGAGTGCAACACCTGCTCCAGCCTCCTCTAGTTCTCTTCTTGTCAACGGGGTTCCAATTCTGCAGTACAGATTGGGGGATACCTTTAGGGACCTCCAAACCTCTCAGCTTCCACAGCCACTCTGATTCCTTCATAATTGCTCTCAACACTCTGAGAACTGTTTCAAACCCAGTCCATTAAAAACCATTCTGTATGCTGGCCCAGTTCCTCTCAGCAAAGCCCAGTGTGGTCTGATCCAAATCCAAGCACTACTCCTGTCTGCTCTGCCTTGGGAAGTTGCCCTGTACTGCCTTGGCCCAGAGAGCAACACTCAGGAACTCAGCAACTACCTACCAGACTTTGGCCATGTGTGAGACTGGGGCAGACTGTCTAGAGAGAGGAGTACAAAGGCAGTCCCAGCTGCGGCTTGGTGAATTCATCCCGCAGTAGTTCCATAGCCTAAGAGGGATTGCAGAGGTAGGAACAACAAAGTTTAAGAAGCAGATAAAGCTCATTCTGATCTTAACTAGGGACTATGTGGGAGGGGCTGACTTGGTTAAGGTGGTTGGGAGAGTTGGGAGAAGAGTCTGGCATCTCTCAGTGGGGAGGTGGCAATGTATTGGTTCAAGGGAAGTTCCGTGGGATTAGGGTACCATGGGATGAACCTGTTCCCAAGATGAGGAGGCAGGAAATCAGAGCCAAGCCAAATGGACTGGAACAAAGGGGAAGCGAGAGGAAGGGTGTTCATCCCTGGAGAGAAATGTTGAACAAAGCACATCTGAGCAGCAATTCACATACAGAGCATACTTGTGAAGGCTAACTGTGAAGGCTAACCAGGAAGGCTGTAGCCACAGGGATCCTCAGCTAACCTGGGCATACCTATGACACCAGATCCGGAGCCTGAGGCAGCACGTGCAGCCCAAGAGCGTCTGTCTGAGGTACCCGCTGGCTTCGTAGTCACTGATTAGGAGACAGGCTGGATCAGAATCTTCTGGAGAATTTTGGTGCTGCCAGATGCTGTGCTGGGTACTTTACATACATTTTCTCTAATCCTCACAAACTTTCAAACAGCGGGGAAACAAAAAGTAACTCTACATATCCTTGGTCTCAGCTTAAAAGTCACTTTCTCACAGAGGACTTCTCTGAGCCTATAAATATAAGTTAACTTCCCCTTTTATTCTCTATATAATATTCTACTTTTACTGATGTCCCTCAGTATAGCTTATAATTTGATATGAGTGATATTCATGATGATTTGTTAACAAACATTGTGTCCATTTCTCCTCCATAGTTTCTGGGGGCACAAGCTCTTAAAAATATTTCTGTATCCCTGAATGCAAGTGGGGAAATGCAGTGAAATAACCAGTGTATTGCATGTAAACATAGAGATGTTGTAGATTGAAAGTTTCACTCTGTGAAACTGTGGCCACTGCACAGACTAATGTATCTAAGAACCAGAATGGCACTCATACTCACATGAATGAGATTGTCTTAAATACAACTTACCACTGACTAGATTTTTGTTAAAATCTGGCAATCATATGCTAGAGGTGAGTGATATATTTTACTTCTCTGCTAGGCTTCCAAGTAAACAACAGGTAGAAATATATACATGTAAAAGTCCATCTAGAGGAATTTTAATAGATCCATGAGAAAAATAAATTTTCCTTTAGAGTAAACAAGTTTAGCTGTGATGTACAGGTTTCTTAACTATTAGATTTCTCAGATTCTAATATGAAACAATGCCAATTTTCCTGTGTGTGTGTGTGTGTGTGTGTGTGTGTGTGATTGGAGGTTTGTTGGCAAATTGATGCTAAAGCATATTTGGCTTTGGTTCTGGAAGAACCAATGTACCCCACCTCCTATCCAGAGAGTTTGACAAGCTGCTCCTGTATTCCAGTAAAATCAGGATCAAGAAGCATTCTGTTGGTTCTGGAGTACAGTAAGTCCTACCCTCTTAACCCTAATTGGATAAACACTAAACAAAACAAATTACATAAGGCTGGGGGAATATAAACAAGAGCAAACAAGAGCTTGTAAAGACTCCAATAAATCACTCTACTTGTAACATTCACCCTACATAGTACAAGCTTTTTCAATTTTTGCCAAAGACTGTCTCACATGAATTGATGGCTCTACAGACATTACACTAGTGTTGGCTTGAATTATGATCATGTGAAAAAGGCTTGTGCATTGATCATGTGAAAATATTGCAGCACAAAGGGGCCAATATTATACTCTGCATCTAGACCTATGGTTACTAGCTCCAAAGAAGATGTTTTCATTCTCATGTTAGGAGGAGGAAACTAAAGCCCATAGATGTCAAATAATATTCTCAAAGTCACAATATATGTTTGGAGCTAGATTCAACCTCAACTGTTCTAGCTCCAAATTTGGACTCTGCTTAGCAACTATTTTTTTTTTTTTTTTTTTTTTTGAGATGGAGTCTCGCTCTGTCGCCCAGGCTGGAGTGCAATGGCGAGATCTCGGCTCACTGCAAGCTCTGCCTCCCGGGTTCACGCCTTTCTCCTGCCTCAGCCTCCCGATTAGCTGGGACTACAGGTGCCGGCCACCATACCTGGCTAATTTTTTGTATTTTTAGTAGAGATGAGGTTTCACCGTGTTAGCCAGGATGGTCTCGATCTCCTGACCTCGTGATCCGTTCGCCTTGGCCTCCCAAAGTGCGCTTAGCAACTATTTTCACTGGAGATATGGAGGACCTCTTTCTCAAGCCCTGTGCCACATGGTCCACTTTGCTCCTTGTTACAGCTCATCACACTAGCCCATGGTCACAATGAAGCTTGCAAGGCCTTCTTTCAGCAGCCCAGCTATCCTGAACAGCTGATTGTTCTCTTTTTTAGGGAGTTAGTCTTAATTTTTTGTCAGTCTTGGGCATAGGAGAGACGGCGTCCACATTGTGGCACTTGCCAAAGCTATCCTTTGGTTAGCAGAATCTCAGCTTCCTCACCTCATTAGATTTCTCTCATCCAGACTCATGGCTCAACTTCTCTTTGCTGCTGAGGCTTGGCTAGGATCCTTTGGCTTAAGACTAAGGGTACCCATTCATTGCTGCATTTTGTGACTGCTCTCCCTCGACACTGTCCCCCACCATCTCCTCAACCTTACTGAGTATGGAGTGGGGAAGTAACTGACTGCACCCTGACTAGACTCCCAGCATAGGGTGTTCTGTGAGTTCACCTACAAAGATCTGTTGTTCACCTATATCTTTCCAAGTGGTTATGCCCATACTCAAAAGGTTTCCCCAAGATATGGAAGAAGATGACAGTGCTAGGAGGTGGGAGCACACTGGATATGCTACAAAAAGGTAAAGTTGAGAGGGAAGGGCAGGAATATGGAACACACAGGAGCTCAGGTGCCTCCCTTCAGTGTTTCCTGGTTGATACCCTGGTTGTTGGCATCATCAGACCCTCTCCTTGAAGCATTCTTGGTGCCCCAGGTTTTCTTAACTTGGAGTGTGTGTTAGAATTACCTGGGCTTTTCTTAAAATTTATACTCTTGCTCATGCCTGTAATCCCAGCACTTTGGGAGGCCGAGGCGGGTGAATCACGAGGTCAGGAGTTCAAGACCAGGCTGGCCAACATAGTGAAACCCCGTCTCTACTGAAAATACAAAAAAAAATTTGGCCGGGCGTGGTGGCGGGTGCCTATAATCCCAGCTACTCAGGAGGCTGAGGCAGAAGAATCGCTTGAACCTGGGAGGTGGAGGTTGCAGTGAGCAGAGATGGTGCCACTGCACTCCAGCCTGGGCGACAGAGTGAGACTCCGTCTCAAGAAAAAAAAGAAAAAAAATTACACTCTTGGGCTCTACCCATGACCTAATGATTCAGAATCTCTCAGGCGTAGGCCTGGGTACATGTAGTTTGAGCAAGATTCCCTGGTGAATCTGCTATACCATGCAGTTGAAGAGTCACTATCCCGTAAGGTGAAGGCCAAGCCCCTTAGCACCATCCACTTGAAGGTGTAGAGGACTGAGCACTTTGAAGTGCTGTTGCTTGGGTGTGGCCACCCAACTTCTGGAGGGGCCACTAAGAGAGATGGCTGGCAACTCCTAGGGCATTACTACTTTGATGACAAAGGTATAATTAATAGTTATAGAGTATTGTTTAGTAATCAATTGTCATTTGTTTTGCTAAATGATTTGGATAGGTGTATACATTTTTGCTAATACAATAATTTGTATTTATGAAGTTTGAACACGCATTTATTTTTAGGATCTGGAAAGTTGGAGCGGGTGAAGTATAACCAATCTTAGGTGTGCACAAGTGGTTAAATGTGGACCTATCTGTGTGATTACAAGTATATGTGCAGTGCCAAGTGAATAAAAATGAAGGCAGACTTTCAGGTATGCGGAAAAGCTTCTAGGTAGAATCTATGGTTCTACGTAGGGCGTAAAATATGTCCTTCCAAAAAATATGGCTCAAAAAAATGTTTCGTGGCCACAAGGAAATTAGGTCAAGCTTAAATTGATTTATGCTGTGCACAATTAACATTTTAATAAGCAGGAAAATTGAATGCAGAATTTAAATACTAAATTCAGATAGGGATGATCCTGTTGACTGATGTTGTAAAAAGATTGCAGAGGTACATGACAGCAACCCCATGCCCAGCTTGGCTCTGTCGGGAGCTGGCTGTATAATTTTGGAAAAGTCATTTAATTTGCCTGTGGCAGAATATTTTTTATTTGCAAAATGAGAGGGTTGAGCTAGTTGATCTCTAAGGCACCTTGTACTATCAACATTTTGTAAATATGAATTATACACTATTCAGGTAAAGAAAGAGATCATGGACATTTTACAGCTGGTACAACACTTTGAACTGCTTTGACTCATTGAACTGAACTTTTAAAATCAAATGGGTACTTTACATACATTTTCTCTAATCCTCACAAACTTTCAAACAGCAGGGAAACCAAAAGTAACTCTACATATCCTTGGTCTCAGCTTAAAAGTCACTTTCTCACAGAGGACTTCTCTGAGCCTATAAATATAAGTTAACTTCCCCTTTTATTCTCTCTATAATGATGTTTGGTTTTTAGTTAACTTATCAAAGTGATGTTTGGTTTTTAGTTAACCTTCTCCTTAATTTTGGTTTATAAAACTTCAATTAAAATTGTAAAATGTAAAAATAATCTCTCACGAAAACTTGCAAAAATAATAGATACAATGAGGAAGAGGTCAGAATATAATGGGAAGAATATTTTAATGCAGCAAATATAGTTTTCAGTCCTTAATTTCTGAAAAAAAATTAATGTCTGATATATAAAAAAACACCTAGATGGAGACGCTGCTCTTTGTTTTAAAGCTCCTGCCATGTGGTCTAAAACTTGTGTATATTTTTACCTTATTTAGTTATATTTGATCAGATAATTTTACGTAAAAGTTTTATCTTTGTTTCTACCCCTTAGAAAACTTGAAACAATAACTTTCTTAACACTTTCTCTCAGAAGTGACTATTCCCATTATCAGTGGCTTCCTAGTGGTAATCTGGATACTTGTGGAATTGTTATATAGCTTTCAAAAACTCTTGAATATTCATATGCTGTGTTATTTTTCAATAATTTAAAACCAGTAATAAGGCTACAGAGACTTCCTCTGTCTGGTGTATTAATGATTCTTTGCAGCTATTTACACATTTAAAGTACAGTAGTCCCCTTGTCCTCAGGAAATATGTTAGAACACCCCCAGTGGACGCCTGAAACAGTGGATTGTACTGAACCCTATATATGCTATTTTTTTCTATACATATATACCTATGATAAAGTTTAACTTATCAATTAGGCACAGTAAGAGATAACAGTAACAATAATAAAATAGAAAATTATAATGATATATTATGATAAAAGTTATATGAATGTGGCCTCTCTCTCTGTCTCTCAAAATATCATACAGTACCATGGGTAACTGAAACCTTGAAAAGCAAAACTGTAGATAAAGGGGTAATGACTACTGTACACATTTGCCATGAACATTCATTTGTTTACATTAAGCATAGCATTTTTCAAACTCCAGGTATGAGCTTAGTGAAAATTTTCCAGGTGGATTAAACTTAGAAGTAATTGTTTCAGAATTGATTTCAAGATTCACAGGAACCATTAAGCTGAAAAAGGAAAAAAAAAAAAAAAAAGGAATCCCTATCTTAAAATAGTTCAAAGACTGCTGGGAAATATGAGAACGAGTCCTTCATTGACGAATGTTGAAACTGAGTCTCAGACTGCAGTTACATGGAGTTAAGGTTTCCAGTGGGCCAGGGTAATGCTGTCCACTGATTGCTGACTTAGAACACGCTATTTCTAAGCGAGGGAAATCACCACCAGAAAACAGTGAGCCACAGAAATCAAATGTATTTCAAATAACACAACGCATCTGTACATAAAGGAATAGAATGTCCTCAAACCGTGAAAATATGCTATTTTGTTTAGGGGTGGGGGAAAAATCTATACGATAATTGGTTTTTTTCTTTTTTCTTTTTGTTTTTAATGACTCCTTTGGGTCAAAGCCAAATGTGTAATTACCCCAGTACAGTTGTTTCCATTGTTTAAAACTTTTCACCCTATTTAGTTGTGCTTGATCAAGTATTTTTACAGGAAAATATTTTCTGTATTCCCTCCCCGCCTTGTAAACTTGAAACAATAACATCTTAATACCATCTCTGAAACTTGCAGAATTTCCTAACTCAAGCCTTTAGTCACCTTCCTTATTTTGGAAATGATCACTCACAATTGACTAATTGTGCCAAATAAATTTTGATTCCCAGACTCTTAGTTTGAGTTCTCTAATGAAATATTGTGGGGAAGAAAGCTCCCATTCCAAAATGAAAAGAGATGCTATATACTTTTGTAAACAAGCATTTAAAAATGATCTTAAGAGTACCTTTCTTTTTTGATATTCTGCCATGACTGTTTCTTCTGCATCTTGGTTATTTTCTTCATAATAAATTATAAAATAGTCAAAGTTTAACAATTCTCATTAATTTAGGTGTTCAAATTTATTTTGACCTTTTAATTTTATCCCACCTCTATCTGTCTCTTTTTTTCTCTGCATATGAATAATGTGTGTAAATATATATGTATATATCTGCACACATTTAGCTTTTGAATCAAGGAAGTAAGCAATTATGGTTCATTATATATACTTTTTTTTTTTTTGAGACGGAGTCCCACTCTGTCGCCCAGGCTGGAGTGCAGTGGCGCAATCTCGGCTCACTGCAAGCTCCACTTCCTGGGTTCACGCCATTCTCCTGCCTCAGCCTGCCGAGTAGCTGGGACTACAGGCGCTCGCCACCACGCCCAGCTAATTGTTTGTATTTTTAGTAGAGACAGGTTTTCACTGTGTTAGCCAAGATGGTCTCGATCTCCTGACCTCGTGATCCGCCCACCTCGGCCTCCCAAAGTGCTGGGATTACAGGCGTGAGCCACTGCGCCTGGCCAGTTCGTTATATATAATTTTAAAAACTAACATGAAATAGGAGGAAAGGCTTGTGGCAAGAAATGGCTTATAGCTATGTTCATTCCACATTGAAAACTATCAGACAAGAAAATATGAGATGAATTTAGGAAAACTCTTTCACATCTCATACATCATTCCTCTGGGCCCACATTCTCTAGTCTGGTCCCAATCCAGTGTCAGGTACATGAGTCATGACTCAACAGATATGGGAACACCTTCATTTATCCCTATCATCCATCTATCCATCCATCCATCCATCCATCCATCCATCCATCTTGTTTGCAAGACCCGAGGAAACATGAAGGTTTGAAAGTTACCCAAGAATTTCAAAGATAATTTGTGGAGTCTCTGGGGAAAGCAAATCAAAATGGACCTAGTTGTATAACAGACCTAAACTTCTCCATTCTACAATTCGTTCAATGTGCTCCTTCCCAAATGATGACTTTCACCAGGAAATGTTTAGGGAATGAACAGAAAAAAGGCAGACATTACATTAATCTTCTATCAAAACACAAAATTCCCTAAAGCTTTCCTGGGACTGTATCAGATAACTAAATATAGACTGAAAATTGTTTCTGCCCCACCTGCACATCAAAAACAACAACAAAAAAGGGAAATCTTGTTGTATCACCAAAGACTATGATCACCTAGGAGAGCTCTCAGTTATGTATGCTCATTCCAGACATATTTTGCGTTAATAAAAGCCCCCATCTTATGTAAATTCACGAACAACTTCAGCATATTTCTGGTTCATAAAGGCCTGGGTTTCACTAAGAATAAGAATGTTGCAGTCATTAAAATGATTAAATGTAGTAACATTAAAAAGACGTATTTTCCTCTCTGTAGTACTTTATAGCAGTCATTTCAAATTACTAAGACCAAAGGATTCTAACAGAAGGTGGCACAGAATGTAATTAAGCATCTTGGTTCTGCAGCCTACCTAGGTTCAATTCTGGTCATTCTACTACTAATTGTGTGATGTCAGGAATAACTCATTTAATTTCCTTGTACTTCAGTGTCTCCATCATAAAAAGGAAATAATAATAATAATAATAGAACCCATACCTAATAAAGTTGCTGTAAGAAAAACAGATAGTTCATAAATAGTTATTATACAGTCTGATTTAAATGCTAGGCATTATTATTATTTTCATCTTGGAGAGAAATCCCTGTAGAGTGAGATTTGGAACTTGATTTGTTATATTTCAGTATGCTGTAAATTGCCGCGAATAAATACTACTAATCCTATCCCACTAGTGAAATGACTCAAGCAAAGGGAGACTAAATGACTAATTTGAGTATCTCAACTAAATTAAGATGGAATTAAAACCCAACAAACCATCTCCATAGCTTTCCTACTTGGGTTTATCTCAGGGGGGATAAGCATTACAAATCTCAGCACTTATAACAACAGACTCTCCTGGTGAGTTCAAAATGCTTCATCTACCTTAATGTTCACAGGATCACTAACATATACTAAGCACCTATGGGAAGTATGGGACTGTCATCTAGCATTACAGTGTTTCCAAACTCTGTAGATAGAAAAACAAAATCAAAAGAAGACAAGGGCTTCATTGTCACCTCCAAAACTAGAGGTTTTCTCTGATATTACAAAGAAGTGTTGATTCTTCCCACTGCACTCCTATAGCCCAGGGTTTTGTCACATAGACCACATGCTATCTCACTGCATTTATATTTAGCAAAAATTTTAAAAGATATATGCCTATTAATTCCATCTGTTTACCTTCATCTCTTAATGGTCATATAGCTGATTTGTATAGTTCTTGGAATCAAAGCAAACATGAACTTTATTACAAAGCAGAGCTAGGATTTATTCATAAGATAGCATGATGATAAATTCCACTTATCTCTTGAAACTATACATTGCAGCACAGGATATGAAGATAGCATACACTTTTCATATTTAATAAAAAATATTTTATATTTTTTATTAAAATAAATGGTGATCATGTTTTGAATTTTTAGAAGGAATAACTTTTATTAATATCACCAGCACAAGAAAACTTTTAATTAATTGTCTTCTAAATCTTAAGAGTTAAGAGGTTTTAAAGCGAAGTTTTGTTTTCAAATCTATCATGTTCACTGGTATAGTAGGACATAAGTCATTAACTCCTCTAATTGTGAAAAGTCATCTTTTTTCTCTTCTCATAGCCTAAAAAAGAGTACAGTTATATAAATATAAAATAGCAGATCAATTCTAACAGAAAGGGTTGGAAGTTCATTGGTTGTTTACATTTTTCTTTTCTCTTTTTCAAAGATAAGCTTTGGAGGAATCTCTTTTTGCTAACCACTTTCAACAAATACAGTGTATCAAAACAATCTACCACACCACCTCCAATTTTGAAAGATACAAAATCTACCCCTGTCCTTTAGGCATGTGTACTTTTATGGCTCACTTCCCAGAGTAAGGATTTGGACATTTGTGCTGTGGCAATGGCTAAGAAATTGCAAAAGTCAGATGTTACATTTTGATAATCATTCCACAAATCCATGCTCCATCAAACTAGACCAAAAAACCTGCAAAGGAAGCAGTATTCTCCAATTTGGAATACAGTATTCTCCAATTTAAAATACTGCCTTCAAATATGTTTGGAAGTTGAAATAATGAAACAATCTCCAAGCATGATAGTAAGTCAATTAAGAAGTACGAAAGTATTCATAATGCCAACCGTTAGCAGACACATTTTTGAAAACCTCAAGTCGTTAATATCTTACTAATTCAGTTATAGCTCTCGAAATCAAATTAACCTTTTCTAGCTGAAAGGAATTTAAAGGCCTTAAATATGAGTATGCAAAGTTCTGTGGATACCCAATACCACTTTAAACACTGATTTGATGTTATTGCTTCAACCAATATGAAGCCAAGACAACATTCCTGTGTCACCCAACCTTTGAATTAGCTTTAAGCAAGCTTAAAGAATTTGAAAAATAAACCTCTCATTCATTCTCTATCCACAGGTTTCTCTAGCCATGCAATTTGTATGACTGCCTCCAACAGCAAGTGAGAAAGTAGGCAGTGATAAACAAACTCATACAATTTTAAAACAAACAGAATAATCAGAAGTTTCTAAGTATGCTAGTCTTTCACTTAAATAGAAAGCCAAATATGAAAGGTCCAGAGGCTTTCACTAATTTTCCACTTTAAATTTTCTAATAATTACTAAGACTACTTTTTATTTCAATTGAAAAATATAATGATTGAGCTATAATTATTCAAAGATAATCATATAAATCTGATATATGTTTCACCTTTAACTGAGATCAGAGGGTAGCAAAAGAAATATAAGAAACTAAGAACCTGGTAACTACTAAATCCTTCAAGAAAACAAAACAAAACAAAAAAAACAAACCAATATAAAGCTACCACAATGTTTCCATTTCTCAGGCACTATATTTTTCATAAAAAATGATCATAAAAGGAATATCAATGTATTACACTATGTATCTCACAAGTAGGTTATACTGTAAATTAAAAATTATCTGTATTAGAATCTCAAATGCAACCTTCAATACCCCGTGAGAAGGCATTTTTCTAAGGAACAATCATATACCTAAACTGCCACATTAATTTAAGGCTACCACAATCCAGTGAGTAAACCAAAATGTTACTTACCTTATTACAAATAAATGGCAAATTGCAGGCACTTTTCAGCTTGCAGCTGTCTAGCATAGTTGATTAGAAATGAACAAAACATCTTTCACTCCAGTGAGAGAACTGCATATTTAGACTTGCTTTCTTCACTGAATACCGGCAAAAGAGGCTGTTCACCTCCAAGTGATAGCAACAGCCCTGCACGGAGCACTTGCTGCTCTGCACAGCAGCGACTTGGAATGAAAGTAAGAAGAACCCGTGATGTTTAAATAACGTAGCTTTAGATTCACAGGATATGACTCAACTCTCAAACCAGTAAGGGAAGAGTTTCCCATTGCAAAACTGTTAGTACAGATTACATAACAAACATCATATCTGGGGTTCTAAAATACTCACATTAAATACTAAAAACTTCACCTGCTAAATCAAACATGCAGTGTTAGTAGTCAACCTCTTCCTCATGGCAAAAGCCACAACAGGAAATGAGAATAACAACACTGCACAAAGAAAACTATTCTGCTTGTTCTCTGCAGTGAATTAATTTAATGTTATTAAGGATGTGAGAACTTGCCAACATCTCCCAGAAAGACATCTAAAAAAAAAAGGAACACTAAAGTCACTAACATTCCCATCGGTATAAAAACAATGTGTAGAAAAAAATTCCATTTTAACATGCAAGAAGTGGCATGCTTTACAACACAATAGAATCTCCTTCACTAAGTAGAGAATGGAAATAGATCTTCGTGCTTTGCTGTTGCTGTTTCCCACAGAAATCCTTTCCTACGCTGTCATTACCTTGTGCTTCTAGCTCTGCCTACCTCACCAACTCAGGGTCCCCTTTTATCTGTTCTGTGAGCCCTTCTAAAGGAACATGACTAATGATACAACTCCTCTAGTAAATGTGGCAATTTTACATGCTTTCTCCACCACATGTTATCCCTTAACACTGAGCTGTATTAAGCTTGATCAAATATTGAATTATTATATTTAGATACCTCAGTCAATAAATATAGACATAGATGCTTGGAGAAAAGTCTACTACATAAATTCACTTGCCATCAGCCTCATCAAGGAAAAAAAGCTGAAAAAGCCCATGTTAATAACAGTAAGTAGGCTGAAACTAACTAGAACAGGGCTGTTAAATAGACATATAAGGTGAAGCATATATGTAATTTAAAATATTTTAGTAGTCACATTAAAAAAGTAAAGAAACATTAATTTTAGTAATGGTTACCCTAGTATGTCTAAAACATCATCATTTCAATATGTAATCATAATAAAATTATTAAATATTTTATCATTTTGGTACTAGTGTTGGAGATCTAGTGTATGTTTTGCACTTGTGTGACATTTCCACTTGAGCTAGCTATATGCAAGTGTTCAATAGCCACACATGGCTAGTGGCTACCATATTGAATAGCATAGGCCTAGGGTTCAAGGCTCATTTTCAGTCTTCAGGTGGTGGTTCAAATATTCTCTTTTCAGAACATTTAGGAAGGTCTTCCCTGACTACCTCCCCTGAAGTAACCTTCTCCAATTACTTTCTATCGGATGATCTTTTTTATTTCCTTTATAGTACATCACAGTTTGAAATGTTCTTCTTTATTCATTTGTTTACCTATTTATAGTCTGTGGTCTCTAACAAGAATGTAAGAAACCCGAGGGCAGGAATTTTCTTTCAGGAGGCTATTGACATGGTCATCAATACATAGCAGAATTTAATCAAAAAATTATTTAATAAATGAATAAAATATGGATTTTTTTGTTATGGTTTGGCAAATAATATAAAATTAAGAAATGTGTTTCTCATATCACTGAATTTCCAGCAAATACACTGGGCAACACTTTCTTGAATTGAGAAATTGTCCACTTTTTAGAATATTAATGATCTTCCATGTATAACATGTTTCATTCTCATATGCAATGCTATGAAACAACATACTTATTTCATTACTCTAGCAAATACTTAGAACACTTTAATCCCAGTGATGTAAATTTGGACACTATTAGGATGTCTATTTATCTCCTATTTACAAAAACATAAAATCAATGCATACTATGCACAGAGCTACAACGCAGGGGTCAAGGATGGGCATGTGACCCACGCTGGTCTAGTAAGCATGCCAACCTCTCCACTTTTGCTAACATTGAGAAAGAGGTTAAGTTTGTAGAATGTTAAGAGTAGAACTGTTGGTTGTTGTATCTGCTACCACATTGTCTAAAAGTGGTGGTCTAAAACTTGTCTAAAAGAGGTTGCCTAAAAATGAGGCTGATGAAGAGAAAAACAAAGCCAAATACGTGAAAGGCAGATTCCTGATAATACTACTGTAATTACCAGATACTGTTATGCATTAAGTCACATTTGCCCTCTACTGCAATGATGAATATACTGGAATGTTCACTGGAGAATTACAGTAGTCAAAACAGGAAACCATGTAAGGAACCATAAACGGTGGAAGCGTTAAATAAATAATGGGTTAATCATACTAAGGAATACTACCTAGTTATTTTCTTTTAAAGAATCAGGTTATCTAGATGCACTGAGATGCATAGCTCCCTAAAAGATGTTAAGCAGAAATAACATATTGCAGAAAAATATATTATCCCAGTTATGAGTATATACATTTTTTATATGCATATTCACAGAAAAGGGCCCAGAAAACTGCACACCAACTGTGGACACGTGGTTAGGTCTGGGAAAGGGATCTGAAGGAAGTGATGGGGGACAAAGAGAGATCAATGTTTTGCTCAGTTTATTACCTCCTGCATAAATCTTGTAAAATAAAAATGAATTAATGTATTCTTTAGGTAATTTGAAAAGAACATGTTACATTTAAAAAAAATTTTAATATTTTTTATTTCCATATTTTGGTACATTGTACTCACTCTAAGTGGACTACTCTCCTTTATTATTTTTTAAAACAATGTAATGGAAATGATGATGCTCTTTTCTGTCCCACTCTCCATTCTTTACCAGCCCCAATTTTTTAATGAATACTCCAGTTTTTCAGTCTGGTTAAAGTGAATGCCAAAGACAGAAAAGAGAAAAAGAAAGGGCAGAGAGAGACAGAGAGAGGAAGCTGCATTAGAATCTCCAATGTACCTTCTAAAACTGGCCAAGGTCTTTGGGTGTTTTTTTTTTTTTTCCTCTTGGCCTCCTGCAAGCAATTTTATTGGCTTTATAAAATACAGCTTGGATTTATTCAACTGCAAATATATCAACAGTCCAATGTTTATAATAATATGCTTTACATTAATTTAGTCTTGGATCAGAGTAAACAAACTTGTTTATTAACATCTCATTGAAACATTTCAGGCTTCTGAATTGGGCATAACAATTGCTTTCCTAATTAACTCAAAATCTAAACCTTTTGTTGCTTTTTTTGGCTTGCTCTAGTCTTCAAAATCTTCACATTATCTTAGGTATGCTCATCACATCTCCTGCTTTTGTATTCCCTTAGATTTCCACAGTTTCAACCCCTTTTTAAAAATGACACAGCTGAAGGTGCTTAGAGTCTGAAGCAAGAGTAAGGGCTGTTTGACTTTTAGTATGACTAATGAGGATCTGAATTTATACAGTGTTGACAAACTGATGTCTGTTTGGCTCTATTTTATTCTCTAAGCCCACTGATCCTAGTAACTTAAACCTCCTACTCTGTTGACACCCTCCTTCCATTCTCCTTGCCTCTATTTAAAATTATGCCAAATTTGATTCTGATTTTCTGGAAGAAGTAAACCATTATATTAATAGACACATCTGAAGCCTCCATATGTCTTTACCTATCCCATTACCTATCCCATCCCTTCTTCTCTCTCCAAAAGTAAACGCCCTCCTGAGTTGGCTTATATCATTACTGTATATCTTTTATAATACTTTTTATTAGATATGCACATATCCATAACAAGTACAACATATTATATAACATAATATCCATAAACAAGATATTAATTTGCATGCTTTAAGCTTTATACAAATATAATAGTGTATAGATCCTTTAAATTTTTTTTTTTTTGCTTAGCATTATCTTCTTAAGATTTACATGTGGTTCTGCTTAGTTTATTCATTTTAACTGCTGTACAGCATTGCAATTTATGTATCCACTCTCCTATTAATGGACATTTAAGTTGGTTCTAATTTATTGCTATTATCAAACTATTATAATTCTTGTACATGTGCATGTATTTGTTTAAAGATGAATACCTAGGAATGGAATCGTGGGGTCATACGATATGCACACCTTCACCTTTACTAGGTATTTCCAAACTGCATCCCAACAAAACTAGGCTAGTTTACAATTCAACCAACAGTGTATAAGAATTTTTGTCACACCAAACTCTTGTAAACGATCTCCAGAGATCCACGATGCTGAAATACCAAGAGTCTTGATCTTTTTGTTTTTTGTTTTTGATTGGTATGAAGTCTCAATGTTTTAATTTGGATTTCCCTGATTACTACCAAAGTTGAGTATTTTACCTTATTATTGGCCTTTTTTTCTATTGT
Organism: Homo sapiens; assembly: GCF_000001405.40. Classification (NCBI taxonomy): domain Eukaryota; kingdom Metazoa; phylum Chordata; class Mammalia; order Primates; family Hominidae; genus Homo; species Homo sapiens. Next base: position 95,085,906 of record NC_000005.10, read on the forward strand.
GTTATTTGCCTTTTCCTGAGAAATATTTAGGAGGTCTTTATATATTATTGTTCTATTCCTTTGTCAATTATGAGAGTTATAGATATCACTCTTCTGTGTATTTTTTTACTATTGTTTATAATGTCCTTTGCTGTTTTTTATTTAATTTGTGGTTTAATTTAAAAATTTATTTTTTTCTGTTATTTACCTGTAATTGAGTCAAAAATATAAAAATTAAATGTTCTTTGGTCATTTTTCATGAAGCATTACCAACAATAATGTTAGATTGCATATCTAAAGGGGAACTGAGAAAAATTTCTATTTCTTCTGAGTAGTTCAATTAATCCTTACAGGGTATCGGCTATGTACCCCCGTACAGTATTAGAGGTTTCAAACATGAAGGAGACCATAGAGTCAATACATACACATTTACAGACTAATTGAAGAAAAATACTTGGAGGCAGACTGATGATGATGATGATGATGAAATGGAGAAGTAACCATGTGCCAGAGGTTGTGCTGAGGCATTATTTAATTTTACAGTAGTGTAATAAGATGGAGTAAATGTTAGTGTAAGAAATACATACAAAATCCTGTGGATAGAATATGTTATAACCTTGCATCCCAAAGATCATTCAAGATATAAAGTGGTCAAATTTGAGGTAGTATGAACCTGTGAGATATAGTAAGACCTTGAACTGACATTTCTATCTTCTCAAGTCAATCTATTTTCCCAAACCAATAACTCAGAGATTAACCTTCATTTATTTAGAATATTAATAAGAATTAAAGTGGGAACAAGTTATTCATTTGAAGAAAAAAATGCTTTTTTGGAAGACAAGTTCATTTTTTACAATCAATGATCCAATCACATAATGATATTTTCTCCATTTATTAGAGATGGTGAAAATTTAAAAAGCCTATAGTTCTTAGGAATCCTAACAAATGGTGCATATACCTTCCTATATCTGATTATTAATTTATAACATCAAAGTTAAAATAAACTCTTGTTCCTTAAAGAAACCTCATGGTAAGTACATTTGCAAACAATGCATCCAAATGTATCTCTTTTGTAAATACAGATGTTCACGTTTCTCTCACTGAAGGTTATATCTGTAGCTCTACAAAAAGTTCATAAAATGAGAGGGCTTAATATTCTTCAGCCAGGAGGACGAAAGGGCTCCTGATCTAGAAATAGAGAAGCGTGGCCAGCAGCGTCACACATTTCCTGAGGCAGATTAAGGGTATCCCACTTCCTTGAGGCTATGAGGTTTACACTTCAGCCTTCATATCACTGTAACCCTCTAGGACTTGCAAACCAAGATGTGTTTCCCCTGCTTAGGGGTGACAGTAAATTTGAAAATGAGAAAATAAGACTGCATCTAAGAATTAAACTTTGAAATAAATATATAGCAGGCCAGCACATAGATAGATAAAGGCAACTTCAATTGTCAGAAGGATGCAAACTCAAATGCCTGAAGGCACACACATTACCAGTAGGTAATGCTGATCAGCGTCTTGGACCTGGCAGAGACCACAGTGAACTGAATGAAGGCAGCACTCAAGCTTCCTTTAAAGGAGACAGTCTCTGCTCAGCTCCAGATGGTTGACCAGATGTGGGAAGGGGCTAGATCTCTGGATTTTTTCAAGAAAGGCTACAGCTCTGGGTTGTTACATGAATATTCCTGATGTTTAAATCTTAGCCTCTACACAATATGAGACAAACAAAAGCTTTTAAAGGCCAGAAGTGTCCCATGGACAGTCCGTCTCAGACCAGGAAGTAGGCAAAAAGCAGCCTTGGAAGTAAGCACAGGCAGTAGCCACTGAAACACTGGGGTAGGGTGCTAGAGGCTGGTGGCCTTCCCTTTTGTGGCTCTGCCTCTCTCATTTCATTATACCCATGGGTCTGAGAACAGCTTGCCCTTCTGATTCCATGCTCATCAAGCTGCTTTCTGACACAAATATGGGATCCTGTCTGGCATGTCTTTAGGGAGACCTTGCTTAAAACTTGAGGGAGTTGAGGAGCAACTCAGCAGCTAGGTCTCTCCTTATAAATTAATAAACTGACAGCCGGGTTAGCGATTTGCTCCCCATGTAGTCTGCCTACAGGAGCAAAATGCGCTGGGTGGGAAGATGAGCCGCCCATCTTCAGCTGTTTCACTTCTCATTCTAAATGGAAACATTGGCATTCTGATCTCACACATTAGTTGTAAGAGTTTCATTAATATGAGTCCAGTTCTGGAGGACAGATGTGCTCTGAAGCTGCTGACAAGTGTGGTTTCTGGGCCCACGGGGCTTTGGGCCAGACCACAGACAGTGGGAAAATCCCTAACACAAGGCCAACCTGCAAGGCCCGTTGGGATCTTAAGTAATTGATCTAACTTCTCACTTACTCTCACTCTAACCCCGTGGCCATTCATTTCAAAGCATCCTTACCCAGGTCTCTAGATGTCCAGAAATGACCTTGAAATATGAAGTTAAGAATTGAAGATACGCCTTAAGGAAAAGGGCAGAGAACTCACAGCAACTAAAAAATATGTTTGTAATCATTGGCACCATGGAGCAGCACTCTGCTCTGTGCTTGCCATAGACCATCCCACTTAATCCTCACAGAAACTCTGTGAAGCAGGTACTACTCGGAGCAATTATTCTATTTTACAAACTGATGCTTACGGAGGTGAAGTAATTTGACCATATGTACCCAGCTAACAAGTAGCGGAGTTGGGATTAGAACCTGCATCCTCAAACACTACGACTTGTTTTGTGTAAATGGTACTTTATTTCACTATTTTTACACCAAACATGCATTTTGCATTACTATTTGCTAGATACTGTTCTAACTACTTTACCAACATTAACTCATGTATTCCTCATAATAAGCCTGTGAAATAACACTACAATTTGCCCCATTCTGATAAGGAAACTGAGGCAAAGAAAGGTTAAGCAACTTGCCCAGGATTATACAACCAGGAGGGGACATAATCAGGATTCAAACTCCATCATTTGGGCTCCAGAGTACGCATTATCAGTCCCTGTGAAACTCCGCACAATGTTCCCAAGGAAGAGTTGATAAAGATTCCAATTTTAAATAATTTCAGTGCTATTGTAGGCACGATTTTTCAGGAGGATGGATGGCAACCCAAGGAAAAGAAATCATTTATGTCATATCATTCCTCTTTATTATATACCAATTAGAAAAACTGCAATTCTTCTGGATTTAAGAACTACAGAGCAAGTAACCACCATAAAATACTATAGGTCTGGAGATAGTTATTCTTAGGCGATACATCTGAGGAGGGTGACAAATTTTAGTTTGCATCTTTTTTTCCCCTCACTGTTGCAGGGGAAATGAAAGGAGACTTTTTTATTTCTGCATTTATAAATCCTAGGAGGTAAACATTGGAATACTTTTGAGAAATCTGAAATGAAGCACATATTCCAGAGTTTAATTTGAAAGTCATTTTCTCCTGGAAACAAAGCAAGTTTAATTTCAGAATCAAAATGCACTGAACATAAAGAAGTAGATGTGGATACCTCCTACTTTGAACCAAACTTTCAGTTAAACTTAAAATGGAACTTTTGGATCCATAAATTGTCAACTTTTATTAAGAATAATACTTTGGAATTGATTGGGTAAAAATAACACCTTATGACTCATATTTTAAATGTGAAGCGAAGTTTTCTATTTAAATAGTGAGGAAAGGCCTTCAGTGGTTTCTATACTACTTAAAGAATCCAGTGTAGACCCTTCCAGCCAGGGTCTAAAAAGTTAACTTAAACCTGAATCCAGAGGGTCTCTCTTTTTAAGTCCTTAATCTGCTGTTTTGTTCCCCTCCAGTTTAATGTAGTTCATGAACTCTTTCCAGAAACTGCCATCCTGAGAGATACAGCATGTTGCAGAACTAGCTCACAAACTGTCACCATGAAAAATAATACCTATAATACTTCCCTTCTTTCAGCCTCTCTTCTCCACAAACAGTCCAATCATTTTTGCTCAACACAATTTGTATAGTCTGGTTATCAAAATGTAGCTTAGTGCCCTAGTGATGTGACTTTCCTGGTCTCATTGTTGATTGAATTCTCGACACAGCCCCACACTCAGGCCTCTCCCCAGGGCCCCATCTGGTTCCATCTTCAGGTCTCTTCTCATTCTTTCTTGCTGCTCCTTTCATTCCTCTCCACATCATGAAACAATTTTAGGGATTGTTAAGCAAATGTCTGAGGCAATATTGCATGGCAGTTAAGAGAGCATGTTTTAAAATCGGACAACCTAGGCATAAATTATGTCTCTGTCAGTTACCTACTGTGTTTGTTATTACCATCAACATTGTATGTTTAATTTTGAATCACTTAACGTTGAGGTGAGAAATAAAGCATAGTTTTTAAAATTTGTAAATAAAAATTAGTTAGCTTTCTTTTTGGCCAATACTTCAATTAAAAAAAATTGGTGCTAATTCTGTCAGCAAATCAATTAGCTATTTCATTTTATGCACACTCTTGAATATCTGTGAGCTGATCCTTCTCAATCTTGTTTTCTTCTCCTGCCGCTTAAATGCTGCTGCTCCAGAGGAATCAGTCCTCGGTCCTTGGCTTTTTTTGCTAGAGAGAAGAGGTCCCAGACTTCACAAGGCAGAGCAGGTATGCAGTGCACAGATACACGTGGAGTTGTGCGGCACACAGGCAATCACATGACCATTAGAAGGGCACTGACGTTGCTCCTCTCTACTCATCGCTGCTACTTGGTATTGCAGGACCAGATTTTCTAATTTTCAAGACCATGTAAAATACTTAGTTTAAAAAATATTGCCATAATGCTTTGGCTGTCCAGATTCAACCTGAAAAACCCAACCTAGGATGACATCTGCTTTATATTCTCACAAAATAATCTTATCCAGGTCCATGACACTCATCACTATCCCTAGTCAGAGTGCTCCCACATCTCTGTCTTTAGCCCATATCTGAGCTCTCACCTGTATATATTAACAAAGTCATTGAGCCCTCTGCACAAGACACTGGGACACCAAAGATGACTGATATACTAGGTTGGTGCAAAAGTGATGGCAAAAAACGCAATTACTTTTGCACCAACCTAATACAAATGTAGCCCCTGCCCACAAGGGGTTTACAGTCTATCAATCAAATTACTTCGTAGACACCTCCATCTGGAGATGCTCCTGGTACCTCAAACTAACACTGCCATCCCATTCCACACCTTCCCCCCAACCCCAAACCTACTCACCCTGGTGTCTCCCTCCTTATTTCTACAGAAGGCTGTCACCCAAACCAGAGACAGAAAATTCATCCAGAAACCCTCTCTTACTGCTAAGAGCCAATTGTTCTCCGAGGCTTTCCCCTTCAATGCCCTGTCCACCTCTCATTCCCAGGCATGACTTTCCATCCTTTATAATACTTCTCTACTCATAATTCATTGCAGGAACTACTGCAATTACCCTTTGTGGCAATTTTTGAAACATATTTGAAATTTTTATGACATTCCTTTCCTCAAGAGGTGGGATCTATGTCTTCTCTCCCCTTGAAACTCAGATGACTTTTGTGACTGTTTTAACCAATAAAGTATGACAGAGGTGATGCCATGTGACTTCTGAGGCTAGAACATAAAAGGTTGTGCAGCTACCCCCTTGCTCAGTGGAACAGTCTCTCTTAAAGCCTTTAGATGCCCTGACTGCCTGGGGGCTGCCTTGCTGTGAGGAAGCCCAACTAGCCCTGAGACCACAAGAAGAGAGGGAGGAGTCTGGACAGTCCTGAGCTTTCACAGTTTGTCCCACAACTGTTTCAACTCTAACATCTATCTGACTGCAACGACATGAAGGACATTGACCAGAATCTTCCAAGCAAACCTTTCACACATTCCTGACTCACAAGATTTTGAATAAAATAAAATGGTAGTTTTAAGCTGCTAGGTTTCAGCTAATTTGTTACATAACAATAGTAGCCAGTACAGAAGTGGGGTTTACCATAACAGAAACCTGAAATATATGTCATTAAGACTGAGACAGGCAGTAAGTGGAGGCTGAAAGGCCCACAAGGAAAGTCTTATGAGAAGAAGTTGGTAGAAATTAGTTAAAGGCTTCAAGAAGCTGTCAGCAAAGGCTCAAAGGGAAGTGAGAAAAATGTTGCTGGAAGTTAAAGAAAGGGGTCTCTTATTATGTAGAAGCAGAACATTTCACAAAACTATCATTTCTGATAATGTGGAAATTAGAAATACACCTAATGAATTTGGTGATCTAGCTAAGGAGATATTCATGTGGTTTTATGGTTTTTTTTGTTGTTGTTGTTTTATTTTGTTTTGTTTAGCTGCCTATAATAAAATGCAAGAGGAAAGAGATGAGCTAAAGAAAAAACTGTTAAAATATAAATAAGTTAGAACTTGCTGGGTTAAAAAACAACAACTAAAAGAAACTGTTTCTTATTCTCAGCCTCTCTAAACAGCAAGTAATTCCCAACTTAAGAAAACACTTGGAGATATAGCCAGAGGTTAACAGATACCAAATCCAGCTAGATAGGAGGAATACGTTCTAGTATTCTGTAGTACTACGTTCTAGTATTCTGTAGTACTACAGGGTGACTAAAATTAGCAACAATTTATTGTATATTTGCAAATAGCTAGAATCATGGATTTTGAATGTTCCCAACACAAAGAAATGATGAATGTTTGAGGTGACGGATATGTTAATTGCCCTGATTTGATCATTACACATTGTATAGATGTATCAAAATATCACACTGTACTCCATAAACATATACAATTATTATGAGTCAATTAAAATTAATAATGAAAGAAAAAGAAAAAAAGAAAGAAAAAGAAAAGGTGAAAGAAAGAACACTGTGAATATACCATTTTCAAAAATAATAAATAAAAAGAAAGGCTTTAGGCCAAATAACAATCCAGGTTGAAATAATATCCTTTACTAAAGTTTCAGAAAAATCTAAGGCAGTGGCTCCTCAAATTTTTTTAGGCAGACAGTGGACCTCTAAGAATCTTAGGAGTATGCTTCACAAATTCTCTCCATAAAACTGGTCTTCCAGGTATCTTAAGGATGTTATCTTAAGACACCTCATAGGGAGCTGAAAGTAAAGAAGCACTTACCTTGAGAATATCTATGGTTTGGATTCATAGAAAACCCACAAACTATTTGAGATAATTGTTTTGCTATAAGAAACACCAATTTGGAGTAAAATAGATGGGAACACTACAAAATTAAAAGTGGGCTTTGGACACGTAGCATTCTATGGGCAGTAAAAAGTCTGATTAGGCTATTTAGTTGCAAAGGTCGTTGTTTGGTTATTGTTGTTGTTTTTTAATGGAAGACAAAGGCTGACTCAAAGGGCCAAACACTGAGAGTGGAACCAAGAGCTGAAAAAAGACAATTCCTAGCAGTAGGATTACACCCTAATGAAGAAACTGGCAACATGAACTTCCTGCATTTCATGACTGCTAAGGGCCAGTGATTGCTGTGTGCCTCCTGTTTTCCTCCTTTTAAGTGAGTGGGTCTACAGCAGTTTACCTTTGCCTGTTGTGCCACTGAAATTTAGGTATGTCGGGGGAGGGGGCAGATAACTTGTTTCTTCACTTCACAGTTCCTCAGATTAAGGAGCTGTACCCAAATTACTGCATTTGAGGAGTCTAAACTTCATTTGGACCTTAGATGATACTATGTTTCAAGCAGATGTTTAGATTTGAGGGTCTTGGGGGAGAGGATAAATATATTTTTCATGTAAGAAGAATTTGAGTTTAGCTGCATGGTAATTCACAAAAGATTGCATTTTTCCAAAGAAAGGGAGTCCTCAAAATCTCTTTTGTTCCACATGCTGTTCTCACAATGTGACATTCCTCCCATCAGCAGGTGAGGACTAAGTGCCTTCCCTCTGAATCTAGACAGGATTGTGACTATAGCAAAAGTGAGGCTATGTGATTTCTGAGACTAGGTCACAAAAGCTGGCACAGCATTTCTCTCATTCCCTTGAGGGCTTGCACTGAGAATCCAGCTGCCATACCACAAGGAAACCCAAGCAAGCTCATGGAGAGGTCTACGTGGAGAAAAATCTAGGCCCCCAGGCTACAGCCAAGCTGAGCTCCAGGCCAATGGCCAGCACCACTTTTCAGGTGTTTGAACAAATCTTGAGCATGGATCCTCAAGCCCCCAGTTGAGTGATGCTGTGCAGAGCAGAGATTAGCTGCCCTTGTCAAGCCCTGCCTGACGTGAAGATTGAGGTACAAAATAAATGACTGATGTGACTTAAGCCACTAAGCTTTGGATAATACGTTATGCAGCAATAGGTAACTGGAGTACCTTTTTAATGCTTTCCTTTCCTACTGTCTTCTATTTCTCCTCATTCCCTCTGAATTTTTTAGAAGATAAAACTGATCAGGTCATGTCCAAGATCTTTCTCTTTTTTTCCATTTGGATCTCTATCACTCAACTGTAAGCACCTTGAGGTCATGAATGATTTCTAAACATTTTAGTAGCATTAAAAATTTATTGAATAAATCAACTGCTAAATATTTTGTTCCTGGAACTGTAATAGGATCTATAATGGAATCTTGACTCATAAGATGTAAATTCTGTGAAAATGAATAAGCAAATTAACAATACTGCTTTTTTCCCTTTAGGAATCTAAGAGAAAAAAATTTTAAATAACTCATTCATTTTCAGATGTTAAAAGGATTTTCACTTACAAATTGAGAGATGTCCTTGAAGAAAACACCTTTGACTAAGGAAATATGGTGTGAAATTCACCACACATTTCTTCATAAGCGGATAACATACTGTCTTGCCTAAACTTTAATAATCTGATTTTGATAAATACCAAACTATAAATAAAAACATAGTTCTGCTTTATCACATGAAAGCATAAAATAACAAGCAATTCTCATTTATCCTGAGTATACTATTAGCTATTATAATTTCTGAGAATTTCAAGATTTTCTGTTAATATACCAGATTTTTTTTCTGAATATTCCTTTATTCTTTCTGTAGTATACAAACACTCCTAAATGCCTCCTATAATAAATTCATGGTATTTGCACATTTTTTGTTTTGCTTCCTAGTGATTACTTCTGCCCAAGGCAAGCTATTTTTTCTTTTATTTGTTATGTTAGATTTTTTTTTTTTTTTTTTTTTTTTTTTTTTTTTTTGAGACGGAGTCTCGCTCTGTCGCCCAGGCTGGAGTGCAGTGGCGCGATCTAGGCTCACTGCAAGCTCTGCCTCCCGGGTTCACGCCATTCTCCTGCCTCAGCCTCCCGAGTAGCTGGGACTACAGGCGCCCGCTACCACGCCCGGCTAATTTTTTGTATTTTTAGTAGAGACGGGGTTTCACCATGTTAGCCAGGATGGTCTCGATCTCCTGACCTCGTGATCCACCCGCCTCGGCCTCCCAAAGTGCTGGGATTACAGGCGTGAGCCACCGCGCCCGGCCTTATGTTAGATTTTTATAACAACTATTTCCTCCAAGGAGTTTAAGGTGCTTAGTAAACAGAGGGCATTTTTTATGGTTTGCTTTAATGAACATCTTCAATGCATTGCAATAGCAAAGAAGTGAACAACAACCAAGTTGGAAGGAAGAGATCACAGGGTAAAGAACAGAGCAGCAGGGTCAGAAGTCAATAGGGGTTGGTTTATTTGCAGAGCAGCAAGAACTCAGGGGATTACAAAAATAACTGCATCCAAACCACGCTCAAGTTTACGGTGCTACCTTTACGAAAAGAAGGTGTTCTGGTCTTTTCCTTTTTAAGTTGATTTCAGGAACCCTGGTTCCAGGCTACACTGATTCTTTCAGTCACTTATATTTGTGTCAAGATAACTGATTAAAAATTGAATAGTAGTCCCTGCTCTTTGTACCTTATGTTGAATTTGGGCAAAGTGAATGCCTGAAGCAGACTGAAGTACATGACTCAATTTGACCTTCACTACATCTAAACCCATCAAAGAAACGAACTGATACATAGGACGAAGGAGTAGGCGGTGACCGTGTATTTGAAATGAGGGGAGGCCCAGAAGGCAGTGAAAAAAGGCCAGTGGTTTCCTGGCCCTGAGGGGGAAACGAGACCTCCAAGGAGATGGCTGGCATGTTATTATTAGGGAGATGGGAGTTCCACACTCTGAATGGAGACTCAGAGTTAGAACTAAGCTAACGCAATGACAATGAAAAAATGTGATACTAATGACATAAGTGATTTTGTAGGCATAGACTCATTCAGAAGTGCCAAATTCAGCCAAACAATATTTGAAAAGCGCACACCAATTCCACCTGTGCCACATAAGAGTACTCAATATATCCACTGTGGAGACTGACTTCTTGAGAGAAATTTTTGATGGTGGTGGATAAAAAGCATTTCAACAGCCTCCTTAAGAGGATATTAATGACCCCATTATATTTGGTGCACAAAGCTCTAAATAACCATTTCGTCCTCAGGCAGACAAAACAGAGTTTTTAATTGCTTGTTCTGTTTGAGACACTGACATATTCACAAAAGGAATAAACCTCTTATAACCAATACAGCTTCAGTTGGTAAGGACAGAGAGACTTCCTTAGAGTCTCTAAGGAAGAGTGATTATAGGCTACCTACCTTCTACTTGGCTGAGTCTTAAAAGTAGTGAAAAAATGGGAAGGGATAGAGTGCATGTGAAGCAAGAGAGAAAAGCAAGAGAAAGGGGAAAGCAAAGAGTCGCTTCAAAATTTGCTTGAGAAAATGGGTCTGTTTGAAAAGATGTGCCATAAATGGAAGAAGCTCTAATTCGTGCAGTATTCTTAGAGCACAAAAGCTTTTAGCATCTTACAGAGCTACATGAAACAAATGGGAGCTGAACCTTACGAACAAAAACTACCATAAAAGGCCTGAAATGCCTTTTATGCCTGAAAGGGCAGGATTTTAACTGAGAAGTTTTCTCATGAATATTAAATGGGGCCAAGAGAGGAAATAAGTTAAATTTTCAAAATAGCTCCCAAGCCATCAATGAATAGTCTATCATTCTGAAATATATATTATATATCACATTGTTCTAAATAGCTTAGACGGGAGCCCCAGCTACACAATTTTGTGTGATTCCATTATGTCTTTGCATTTTCATGATGTTTAAATACATTACTCACTGTAGTTGTTCAAACACAGAGATTCCTATTCTATCATGAAAGTGAATCAATATTTTTTATAACTTTTTCCCCTGATTATATCAGCAATGCCTATTTGTATATATTAAATTTTTAAAAATATAGATAAGAAAATAAATACTGCCTATGATATCAATTCTAAAAATAATCAATGTTAATGTATTCATGTTCTTAAATAGAGCAAAAACAAGCCTATAAACAAATAAATAATATTAAGCACTAAAAATACTATGAAAAAAATAAGATAGGTTAATGTGATAATGAGGGAGTGACACATGAGGACAGAGAATAGCTTGGGCTAGGATAGAAGGGCGGGTCACTTTGACAAGGTGTCCTGATTAATGAGAAAGAAGCGGATATGGCGAGAACCAGGGGAAGATTGTAAGATTGATTCAGGAACATAAACTAACACATGCAAGGGCCTTGGGATAGGAAAGACCTGGTACAGAAGAGACAGAAAGAAGGCCAGTGTGGCCAGAGCACTGAGAAAGGAGGCTGGAGAGGTGGGCAGGAGCTTAATCACCTAGGGTCTTGGAAACACCTTCAATGCACTGCAAGAGCAAATAATTTGGATTTCATTTTGTTGGTTTCCATCATGGGAAGTTTCTCATCTCTTTTAGAAAGAACTTCTGTCTACAGCTTAGATCACTGGAGACAAGAGTGAATGCGAGCCCACCTGTCAAGAGCTTGTTCCGGGAATCCAGGTAGCCTGGATGAAGGTGTGGTAAGATTCAGGATGTATTTTGGGTAAAGGTGATCTAATAATAGATAGATCAAAGCACGAAGAAAAGAAAAAGATCCAGCATGATTCTTAGGTTTTTGGTCCAACAACTGGGGTCATGGTAGTTGTATTTACTCAGTAATGAAATGTCATAGCTAAAGTTCCTTTTTTCACACAGTAAGAAATACATTATTAAAATGTTTTCCATTTTTGGTTAGCTACTAAGGACCTCAGAGATACAATTAGCTTTGAGTAATAATAATTAGTACCAGAAGTTTCTGACATATTTTTCTCTATTCAACTCAATGATTTCTGATCTTTCAACGTGTTTTTGTTTACTTAAGTTCCTGTTTCATAGATCAACGGTAAGTTTAGTTTTAAAATAATATAATAAATGAAGATAAATATATTCCCAACCAAGCAACCCTAGATCCTGAGACTGAACCATATTTACACATATGAGTCACCTTCATTTCTTCTCTTGTTACAGGTGAGTTGGATACTTTGCCTATTTTTTAGTGTGTGTATGTTGTGGGGTAGGGGTGAGCTGTTTTTCCCAATGATTTAAACAAACTTCTTTTTATAGAAAGAATATTAACCCTTAATCTGTATGCAATCTTGATGTGTCATTTGTCTTTCAATTTTGTTTTAGTGTTTTCTGATATACATAAAGTATTTAATTTTTACACAACTTATCAATAATCAATGTACAAAAATCACAAGCATTCTTATACACCAATAACAGACAAACAGAGAGCCAAATCATGAGTGAACTCCCATTCACAATTGCTTCAAAGAGAATAAAATACCTAGGAATCCACCTTACAAGGGATGTGAAGGACCTCTTCAAGGAGAACTACAAACCACTGCTCAAGGAAATAAAAGAGGATACAAACAAATGGAAGAACATTCCATGCTCATGGGTAGGAAGAATCAATATCGTGAAAATGGCCATACTGCCCAAGGTAATTTATAGATTCAATGCCATCCCCATCAAGCTACCAATGATTTTCTTCACAGAATTGGAAAAAACTACTTTAAAGTTCATATGGAACCAAAAAAGAGCCCACATTGCCAAGTCAATCCTAAGCCAAAAGAACAAAGCTGGAGGCATCACACTACCTGACTTCAAACTATACCACAAGGCTACAGTAACCAAAACAGCATGGTACTGGTACCAAAACAGAGATATAGATTAATGGAACAGAACAGAGCCCTCAGAAATAACGCCGCATATCTGCAACTATCTGATCTTTGACAAACCTGAGAAAAACAAGCAATGGGGAAAGGATTCCCTATTTAATAAATGGTGCTGGGAAAACTGGCTAGCCATATGTAGAAAGCTGAAACTGGATCCCTTCCTTACACCTTATACAAAAATCAATTCAAGATGGATTAAAGACTTAAACGTTAGACCTAAATCCATAAAAACCCTAGAAGAAAACCTAGGCATTACCATACAGGACATAGGCACGGGCAAGGACTTCATGTCTAAAACACCAAAAGCAATGGCAACAAAAGACAAAATTGACAAATGGGATCTAATGAAACTAAAGAGCTTCTGCACAGCAAAAGAAACTACCATCAGAGTGAACAGGCAACCCACAAAATGGGAGAAAATTTTCGCAACCTACTCATCTGACAAAGGGCTAATAGCCAGAATCTGCAATGAACTCAAACAAATTTACAAGAAAAAAACAAACAACCCCATCAAAAAGTGGGCGAAGGACATGAACAGACATTTCTCAAAAGAAGATATTTATGCAGCCAAAAAACACATGAAAAAATGCTCGCCATCACTGGCCATCAGAGAAATACAAATCAAAACCACAATGAGATATCATCTCACACCAGTTAGAATGGCAATCATTAAAAAGTCAGGAAACAACAGGTGCTGGAAAGGATGTGGAGAAATAGGAACACTTTTACACTGTTGGTGGGACTGTAAACTAGTTCGACCATTGTGGAAGTCAGTGCGGCGATTCCTCAGGGATCTAGAACTAGAAATACCATTTGACCCAGCCATCCCATTACTGGGTATATACCCAAAGGACTATAAATCATGCTGCTATAAAGACACATGCACACGTATGTTTATTGCGGCACTATTCACAATAGCAAAGACTTGGAACCAACCCAAATGTCCAACAATGATAGACTGGATTAAGAAAATGTGGCACATATACACCATGGAATACCATGCAGTCATAAAAAATGATGAGTTCATGTCCTTTGTAGGGACATGGATGAAATTGGAAATCATCATTCTCAGTAAACTATCGCAAGAACAAAAAACCAAACACCGCATATTCTCACTCATAGGTGGGAACTGAACAATGAGAACACGTGGACACAGGAAGGGGAACATCACACTCTGGGGACTGTTGTGGGGTGGGGGGAGGGGGGAGGGATAGCATTGGGAGATATACCTAATGCTAGATGACGAGTTAGTGGGTGCAGCGCACCAGCATGGCTCATGTATACATATGTAACTAACCTGCACATTGTGCACATGTACCCTAAAACTTAAAGTATAATAATAAAAAAAAATTAAAAAAAAATATTTGCTTCATGATATTTTGTTGTGCTTTTAGTGCTATATCAGCTAAATATTTACCTACATTTACTTTTTCAGCCCATCTGAGAGTAAATCAGTCATTCAGAAAATGAGGTTTTCATGGGATTGGATCCTAGGGACTTGGTCCTCTTCTTATAGCTGCATTATTTTTAAAAATCTCAAAAATCAATAAAAAAATAAGTTAACTGTTAAGGAAATGAAAATACAAGTCACAAACCACAAGAAAATATTTGTAAGTCATCTATATGATAAGAATTTGTATAAAGAATACTGTATATCTTTTTAAAAATCCCAAAACTCAAGAATAACTGCATTATCCCTGACACTTCTGTTTTTGAGTGCTCTGTTTCAGGATTTTCACAGCTGACACCCCTGAGAGGCCACAGCACCTAGCACCCCTTAACTAGTGATGTTGTAATTTGATTGCTACATATCCCAGCGATGATATCATCAAATCAATTCAAAATATCAAATTCACTCAGTAGGGGTGAAAGCAAAACAAAACCAACTAAGCAATAAGAAGACCAAGGACTAAAACTGAATACAAATTCAAACAAAACAAACTAACAGTTTATCAAATAGTTCACATAGAGAAAATATTTATTCCAATTATTTCCCCCAAAAGGAACCAGGGATTCCTAAATAAATGTCTGACTCCAGGTCTGTTGCAGGGAAAACACAAGACAAGTTTGAACGTTTTATGCCAGTGACAATGTCATGACTTACGCTGTAAGAATACAAGATCCAGCCTGAGCAGGCTCTAATTAGAAAGAAAGTAAAAAAAAAACCAAACAAACTATGACTCTATATTGCTGTTTGATGGAATAAGACAAGGGGAGTTAGAGGAAAGTTCTTTTTTGCAAAAGAATTTCAGCTAGTAAGCACAGAGGGAATGACAGAATCCACATTTTAAAAAATTAAAATATAAACAAAAGATTCCTACCCAATAAAGTTGTACAAACAGAAAAAACCTCAAAATTTGTACATCCTGAAACAAAACCATCTTTTTTTCAAAATAGGTAATATTTCCTGTTGAGATACAGAATAACATACAGGGAAGAAAACATCTTGTTTCCTGTTGGTTCCATTGAGTGAAGAGCAATACAGAGTATGTACATAGAGCCTCTACTCTTAGCCAAAGTAACAATTTTCATGTATTTACTTTCGGTAGTTGGTGCCATCAACCTAACGTGGATTCTGAACCAGAACCAGAAGTGTGAGTGATTCACTGCCTGCCCCACCAATACTCCAGTCAATCAATCAGGTGGGGCCTGGCTGTGTGTGGCAGGCAGTATGTGTGCCCAGGGAAAGGGGGCTGCAGGCACATGTTCACCTGGCAGACAGAAAGAACGTAGAGAGTCACTCCAACACTGCATTAGTTAGTGATCCCACTCTTTCTGCAGTTTCCAGGGTTCCTGTGTGGAATGCCTTCTGCTGGTCACAGGTTCAATGGAGAGAATGAAATGAAGAACCTGAATTATTCACAAACAGGCTAAATAGTTAAACTAAGGAAACTCCTTTCAAAGACAAAATAAAGAGCTTCAGTGCTTTCCAATATCCAGGTGATTGATGAAAAACATAGCTGTTCTTTGCAACCTTACAAGTAATACTGTATTTCATCCACTAGATCAGATGCTCTCCTAGGGCAAGGTCTGTGTTTTTTTCCTCACCACTTGTGGTAAATTGTGAATGTAGCCACAATTTATCATATTAATTTTTCTGTATTACATATAAAGCAACGTGTCTTTGCAGCTCCTCATGTTAAGAGGTGGAATTTACTTTCCCTCCCCTTGAATGGAGGCTGGGCTTGTGGCTTGCCTTGAATGATAGGACTCATCAAAAGTAATACTGTGCTAGTTCCAAGCAGAGGCCTCAAGAGGTTGTTAATGCTCTTGAAAACTTGCCTATGTGAACCAGCTGAGCAAGCCAGCTGGAGGATGGTAAGCCACTTCAATCAGGACAAGCAGCTGAGGCCACTCCAGTCCAGCCAGTCTCAGCTGACCCAAAGCTCACTGCGGCTGCATGAGTGAGCCAGGCCAACAGCAGAAGAAAAACCCAGCTCACTCCAGACACAGTGCCAACCTGCAGGACTATGAGCTATATCAATGGCTGTTGTTTTAAGCCACAAAGTTGAAGGGTGGTTTGTTATTCAGCAAAAGCTAACAGACACACCATTATCCCTAGTGATTACCACAGTACCAGGCATTTAGAAGTTGCACGTCGGAAGTTGGAATTGAGGAATAAACTAACCCATCTCATATAATGCCCAAATGTGGGGCAGTTCTGTGCTAAATACTAGGATACAGAGATATCAAAGAACCCAGGGACTAGCAGAAGAGACAATTAGGTGGTATTTATACAAGGTATTGTAACAATCCATGATTACAGTATGTTCAGAATAGTGTGAGGGATACCCAGGACCCAGATTAAGGGTAGGGATCACAGGAAGCCCCTTAAGGAGGTGATACATTAGCTAAGACTTCTCAGAAATGGGCAAAAGTAACTAGATGAAGTGGCAATGTGTAGGTAAGTGTGCACTTATTAACAAACTGCTTGGGAAACTGGAACCGGAGTAAGACAGGGGAAGATGATTAACTTTTAGTGGTTGCTCTACTCACCAGCTATGCAAAGCTCAGCAATAACCACTTCTCTAAGTCTTAGTTTCCTTAGCAAAATAGGATGGGAATAGTACTCAACTCAGGGAGTTGCTCTGAGGACTAAATAAAATAATCTATGTAAAGTGTTAGCATAATGCCATCATTTAATATATACTTAACAAAGACTGTTATTATTGTTTTATTAATATTTATTATTTATTATTATATTATTATTGTCTTGTTACCATAAGCACATATGTATTTGAATTTAAAAGCATTTCAACAAAGTAGAAAATAAAGCCTAATCAGAAATCAATGAACATCACAAATATATACGTAAGCTTTGGAAAGAAGTAAATTCTTTACCTGAATTTTTATATTCTGTGCTTCTGTAATAAATGAAATTATATATTTTTTTTAAAGTGGAGAAAAAGGTTTCCAGGCAGAAACAGCAAGTATAAAGATAGGGTGGTGAACAACTGTATGGCATATATGGGAGACTGCAAATGCCAATTCTGACCAAAATATGATGTGCAAGGGATAGGACTGTGATAGATGAGGCAGAGAAAATAGCAGAGCCACATCATAAAGGACCTCATATATAAAGCAAAGAGTTTGGAGTTTATCTAAAAGTCAGTGAGGAGCCATTGCTACCTCTCATTTGGAATTAATGTATGTAGCAATTTTCTTGGAAAGCAATCAAAATGTACAGTTGCTTTTTAAGTAGGGGTGAGATGACATCATTTCACCTACTGCACTTTATTCAACAATTTTCGAGTGCCTTTCGATCAGCATGTCTCCAATGTAGGGGATTCCAAGTAATAAAATCCAGGTGCTCTCAAACAGTTTCCATGCTGGTGGGTAAAATGGCCTTGAAAGCAAATTGCTACAACTCAATATGGTACACTGTAACAGGGAAAAGAAAGAAGTTCTATGAGCACAATGGCTTGAAGTTCAAATTGTGGGAGACGGGGAGAAGCAGGAGGGTTGCAGACAAAGGTTAAACGTGTAAGATTTGGGGGTGTACTGAACAAAATTATGACCCCAGTGCCTGTCCATTCCTGTGATTTCCAGTTTCTCTCTCTTACGCATTCCCACAACTCTCCATCATATCAGAGTACCATTACTATCCCTGCATCTACAGCCTGTGATTGCCAACAGGAATGCCTTACGTATCAATTATGAAAGAAATAATACAATTACTTATTCTATAACCTGAGCCCAACAGAATTAAATCATAAGCACGGCATATTTAGACTTACCCCCCCTCCCAAGTTTCAGAAGTGAAATTTAGCAACTTTTCCTTATTACTAATGGGACCTGAACTTAAAATAGCTGTCTAAACGCAGTTAACAAACTATACAGCTCAGCAATAATCTAAGTTGGTTATTTTGAACCTTTGTGGTTTTCATTTTCCTAAGTTTGAGGTTTTATTCAATGTCAGGTCATACATTAGAAACTTTGTTATGATTTACCCCATAAAATTTGAATTTTTGGAAAAAGGGAAATCCACAGTAAAAATCTGAAAAAGCAAAAGCCAACATGAAAAATGTCTAAGTAATGCTTTTGTTATTTTATGGGTTACTATACCTAGTTTAGCAGGCATGATTACTGACCACCTCTCCAATCCATAGGCATAAGCAATGACGATAGATGGTGGCACATAGGACCCTTCTTGCCAGGGACCCTTGCCTATGGATCCATATTTTAAAGCTTTATATTTGTGTTCTTCTACAATACAATGTGCATTTTTATTATGTTTACTGTTTTAAATTTAGCTGCAATACCAAAGTCTACTGCAAGAACATATATTAATATATACTAAATAGTATTATGAAATTTCTCATAACAAAAGACAGTTTTCAGCACTTATCAAATTTCTGACTCCATTGGGAACTACAAAGCCATCATCTTCAACACTGAGTGACCCTTCCTTACTTTTCTAAAGCCTTTCTCCTCAACTGCACATTTAAATGGCTGGGACTATAGGTGACATTGATATAAAATAATGTTTCTTTGGATGACTGAAATTCCCTAAGTTCTTCCTTTATCATTATCTGTTCTGTAAAAAATTATTTATTTCTACATATTTGTGTGCCCCATTTAATGCTACTCCAAGTGGTGCTGAACAAGTTTCCTAAAAGTAGGCCTATAACAATCCATAGCATGCTGTATATATTTTGTGTAATTCTCATACTCAGGATAGTGCCAATGAAGGAAAGCTACTTTAGCAGCTCTGAGCCAGTTAGTAAACTGTAGAGCTGGGATTGAACCCAGCCAGTCTAGCTCCAGAAAACTTATATTTGCAAGTACATCTTATATTTGCAAATGAAGGGGAATAAAGGGAAGTGCACTGTTCAGGTTTCAAGGTGTTTGACATGACTCTAGAGCAAGTTTCAGCTTCTACTTGGCCTGACCTCATGAACCTAACAGTATCTTGTAAGGAGACTCCAGAATAGTGTTAACTTAGAAACTAAATTTTTCATGGAATTGGGGTCATTATTAGGGACTCATTTATCTATCTTCTCCTGGGGAAATTCCAGTACTAGAAAACTATTCCCAAGAATCAGTTTACACATGGGCACTTGTAACCCATAGGAGTACATTTTAAAAGGGTCCTAGGAACTTTTGCCAAGTCCCCTAGGGACTTGGGCTTGGATGCAGGGAAGAGGATATCACATCTCTGTACCATCTCTATATTCCAGGAGACTCCTCTTGAGAGGAATGGAACATGCAGAGAAGGTTGGAGCCCTAGGAATACTGCTGAGGGGAAGTCCAGGAATTGTCCCTTATTAGAGCTTCATTAGGAGTAGCAGGAGGAAATGTTACACTAAACAAAACCTGTGCTAGGAGGTATCCATTCCAGCAAGACTTGTCTTTAAAAGAAAAGGAATTCAGTCCCAAATGGGCACACCATCCAGGAAAAATATGATGATTAAGCCTTTTAATATTCCCTACTCCAAGGATTGAGAATACATCTTTTTCTCACCATGTGTTATAGGTTTCGAGGCTCAGAAACTCCAAGTGGAGACTTTACCTATTACTGAGTTCCTAAAAACATCAAGTCTACCAGGACCAAAGATCCCAAGGAAAGGAGGTTAATCTTGTTTCAAACTTATGGTATGTTCTGTGTCTGTGCTCTGATGCCAGCAGCTGCCATTCCTTATTTTGTAACATTTCCCTGACATGGTGATCATCTGCTGGTATCTTTCTGGGGAACCATCACACCACATTCTTAAGCATGTGATTTGGATAGAGCTGATCACAGATGGGCCATCGCAGAATACACTTTTGTCTTGCACAAAGTGATGGTTTCAGGCATGACAAGGTCACCTCAGGCCACTGATACTAAACGGTTCAGACCAAGACTTGTGCTGAAGCTATTTGCAGAGACCCTTCTGTTCCAGAAAAGGCTAGCTGACAGGGCAACAGAAGTCTGGAGCTGCTGGTGGTCGTCTTTGCTGGCACATGCAGGGAGCCCACTACTCAGAGGAGAGCAGACCCCAGAGCAGAAAGAGAAAGGGAGAAGTACAATGTTCTGATGACACTGGGGAGACCCTTGGATCCTGTTGAGTCTGAAGCCATGTTTATCTCTGGAATATCTCAGATACTTGAGTCAACAAATTCCTGTTTTGTTCAGGCTGGTTTGTACTGGTCATTCTATCACCTGAAAACCAAATAATCCTGACTAATTTGCCTGTATTTCCATTCGCTTCAATTCAACAAACATGAATTGAAGACCTACTGAGGGCCAGGCACTGCACTAGGTTCTGGGGCTGCATGTATGAATAAAGCATAGTTGCTGACCTCCTGGGAGTAAACCTGCAATTTAGGGGATCTCTAAAGGTTAGCAGGCCACATGCTGTTTTGAAAGCATGGTTCACAGATGTCTGCGTTGACTCCATCTAACTGATCCAGAACAGTCATTTTAAAGGGCAAGGAAATGGAGTAATACCCAATTGGTAAACATGCTTAGAGAACATAAAACTGGCAGTATATTTTTACAAGCTAATAAGTGAAGAATAAAATTATCTTTGAGAAGCTATTCAATGAGAATCAGAATCTTATCTAAAATTAGTATTCTAGAGCACAATAATAAATACTTTATTCAAAGCCTACTGTACTGAAAATAACAATGTAGAAAAATAAACTCATACTAAATTTAGTTGAGTGTTAATTATGATAGAGATAAACAAATGAATCCAGAGACAGCATGAAACTTGGGTACATAATAATTTAGGAGTTCATTTAAATAGTTTTGTATTTTAAATAATTTATTTTGATGTCATTAATCACTACTCATTTTCAATCCGAAAATATATGAGGAAACAGATTACCTTTCCAAATGGAAATAGATGTACTTAGTTCACATAATGAATCGGGTACTCTGGGGGACATAGTACTGAAATGCTTCAGGGCATTTGCTTTTAATAAATGAAAAGTTGCATGGCAACACCCTTCATAAAACTAGATGAGTCAAAAAAGAGACATTTCCCAAAGATGTCATATTAGTATTATTCACCATTTATAAATAAAGTAACATTTTATTATAAAAGTTTTTTAAAGCAGATCATACTACAAAGATAAAATAAGAATTAGCATATAACTTTTATGGAAATAAATCTGACAGGAATGCCAAGGTTAAGAGGTACAGCAAGCCTAAGTAAAGCTAAAAAGTAAATAAAGTTCTGCCTCAGCCTCCACTTTTCTGAGTCTCTCAGTTTTTAAATACCATTCCTCAGGTGCCATGTGTCCACAAATATTAATCTATAAAGTTCTACGAATTCTAAAAGTATTCCTTTCTTTTTGTCCAAGTATTGGCCATTCATACTTCTGAAGCAGAGAGGAATGATATGCTGGTGTATAGGGGAAAAGCTATTTCCTTTAGTTGGGATAAAGCTATGAAAACTTCAATTGTTTTTCAAGTTTGGATTTCCTTCTATGTTTTTATTTTAAGTTCCAGGATACATGTCCAGGATGTGCAGGTTTGTTACATAGGTAAACGTCTGCCATGGTGGTTTGCTGCACCTATCAACCCATCACCTAGGTATTAAGCCCAGCAGTCTCACCATTCTGAAGCACTATGACATGGCTGTATCAAAAGTGAACTTGGGGTTTAGTTTCCAATAATGTGGTTACATCAAGGTGCAGGAAGCAGTCAAGCCAATTTTAGTATGGATTACAGTTAAGAAAGATTAAAAATCTGTGCTCGGCATTCTCCTTTATCTCCATACACTGGAGTTTATTTGCCTGTTTCCCCATTCTCCTAGTAACAGTTTCTCTAAAAGACCAAGCCTTACCTTAGCTGCCCTAAAGGAAAGGGATTTTGTCAATCTCCCTTCAAGTGCTCTTCATTCCAGGTGCGTTACAAGAGTGGCTAGCCCATGAGGAGGACCAGATGGAAACCAAGAACATTTGCTGTGTCAGGGCAGCTCCTTCCTGCTGGGTCCTAGACCTTGACACATCTTATTCACTGTCACAGAGCAACCTCACAAAGTAATGAACAGCAAGATGTTAGTGATTAATAACCAGCTTAATGTGTTGCAGGCTCAAACACAAGCCACTAATATATTTTAAAAGTGGTAACTACAAAGCCGAGGGGATGGAAATTGCAATGGAGTATCAGACCTAGGCAGCTCTCAAAGTCTTTAGACCAATAAGGCACCCCTGCACCCTTCAAGTCAAATCAACTTCATAACATTTATTCCATCTATTATAAAGGAAAGCTGGCCTTGCTAACAATTGGTAAGTCACCCTTAGCTAGACACCTTTGCGTTTTGCAACATCGATACTGTCACTTATGTGTCGTAATATCCATCAATACCCATAATAAGTTACCTCATACCTAGTGGATGCTGATAAACATTTGTAAAGAGGTCTTAGAATGGGTTGAAAGAAATCCAAAAGAATCCACACAGCCTTAAAAGGATGAAGGTCTGGGGAAAATATTAATAGGTAGTAACAATAGGTAGCTACTTATTGTTCAGTATCTACTATATACCAGATGTTATATTTTTTAATTAAAATAATGCTTACTATGCCATTCAAAGAAATCACAAAAGTAGTATTAAATAGAAGTAAAATTATTTTCATTGTAAGACTGATAGATGCCTGGCACATGAAGGTTACCTGATAAAGGCATATTCCTGCATTTACAAGTTTACCAAGAGTCTAGACTAATCATGCAGTTAGGCTGAGGTCAATGACATTTTTCCTTCAGATTTGGTTGCTCCCATTGACCTTCCAGAGTTGAGGCATTTCACATTCAACACAGACTTGACCATTTAGATTTTCCCCTTACACCAGAAAAACCTCCTATATTTCCCATTGCAGGAGGATGCACCATTTAAGCAAAAGCAAGGTAGAGCATCAATGTAAAAATAAGAATGGTATAAACTAGTGAATATAAATGCTGAGACACACAATACAATTCTAAAAGTTCTATTCTCAGATTTACTTAGATTTTCAATATCCTTTCTCTGAATCTAAATTCAGAAGATGAAAACTTGTTGCTCACCAAGGAAACGCTTGATATGCTGGCAATTTTCTCTTCATCCTTCAGGCTACTCCTTATATATTGAACTCTTTAGAATATGACTTCTGTCCCTTTAAATTACAGAGTTTTCTAACCATAAATTGAAAAAAAAAATTTCGTACCAGAAAGAGACAGAGCTGGATCATCAAGTTCAAGTCTAATTTTATAATGAAGAATGATGAGGACTTGCTTGGTGTTACACAGACGCAGAAAATAATATAGAAGACAAATCTATTGACTTTCATGAGGGAGCTATTTTTTAGACACCTACCTTATGTCTCTGAGTCCAGCAGTTCTTAGTTATTACATTCTGCTGTAGGTTATATCTTTGTCAGGAGGCAATTTCTTTATATCAATACTTCATCAGCTCAAATGTTTGCAAACAAGCAAAACAAGTCATAAGTGCTTTTGCATAAATTCCCATTTCCTTTTAGAAGGGATATGCAAAACTTTTTTTTAAAGAATAAGTTTGCTGGACTCATGGAATACCCAACAGAACAATTCCTAGACTATGCCTATAACAAGTAAATAACTAATTAGTGTGTGGTAGACTGGTGAGTGTTTATTACCAATATCCCATAGTTATCTCAAGAAATTTATAAATACCCAGTTGGTGGGCATAAAATATTTTCCCCAAAACAACACAGCCTTGCAAAACAAATTACAATGAGATTTTTCACAGCACATTCTCTGATCTAGTGTGATCAACTTTGTGCAGAAACAGCTTACTCTCTAACAAGATTTATGGACTCTCTGCCATAATATAGATAATGTGAATCCAACCTACTTACCCACTCTTTTTTTTGTCTATTGCTAGAAAGCAGCCACCCAGCCAGCGACACTTCCTCTTGCATCTAGGTGGGGCCATGTGACTGGTTCTCATCAGTGGAGTGTAAGTATTAGAGATGTGTGTCACTTACCAGCAAAGGTGGATAGGAGGAGACTGTCTTCTCTATTCTGTCTCTCTCTTTCTGCCTGAACACTGAAGACTCCAAGATATCTAGTAAGCAGCACAGTTCCAATATGGAAGGAACTTGGGTTCCCAGAAAGCTCAAAAATATCTAAATTGGATGTTATGTGAGTTAAAATAAACCTTTATTATGTTAAGCTCCTGAAATTGTGGGGTTTATTTTTTATACGCATTGCAAAAACCTAACTAACACATTGATTTTTGCTAGATATATCCATGGACAAAGTAGTACCATCCAGATGATAGTAGCTGCTAATAAATGTGGCATCGAGTATACCAATTTTACTATTACATTTTTCCTCTATCATGTTCCCAGGATCCCAGTCACTGGCTAGGCTACACCAAGTGCAGCTAAAATTCAGAAGTTCTTACGGCCAATCTAAGCATGTTAAAGGACTTTTGAGTCTACCAATATTGGGGATGATAAAGCTTACTCCAATTGTACCTGACTTCAAATTTCTAATGTGAATTACATCTCTGTAAGTCTATTAAATTCAAGGATAATTCCCTGGGACTCGTTATCATGTCAGCAAAACAACCCTCTTTCCCAGTAGTAGGCTCCATGTGAGAGGACTTATTTTGTAATGGGGAAAAAGAAAGCGTCAATTCCTGGTACTAATAATGTGAAGGATTCATTTGGAGACACTACACAATCTGCAATACACAAGATCCTAAAACATGTTTAGATGTCTAA
Organism: Homo sapiens; assembly: GCF_000001405.40. Lineage (NCBI taxonomy): Eukaryota > Metazoa > Chordata > Mammalia > Primates > Hominidae > Homo > Homo sapiens. Next base: position 95,111,110 of record NC_000005.10, read on the forward strand.
GGTTCTGACTAACAATAAAGTTGTGCCTCCTTTTTGATTCAATAATGCAAAAGTTATAAATCTCCCATGACTAATAAATCTTTAAATGATGAGTTAAATTCTATTGGAAATGTTCATTGTCTATTTTGCATCTGTTTGTAGTTTATCATAACTAGTGATGATAGTGCTTTCTCCAAAGAAAACAAGTAGAAGCATAAATGAGCTAGTTGTTGATTCAGGACTAAATTGGGGGAAATTACATCATGATAGTGTGTTCCCTTTGGTGGTATACTGAAGAACAAAGACTTTAAATGAATAAGTACAGAGTCTCACAAAGCTTTTATCACAGCTTCTGGTATACAGAATGACCAAGTTTAGACCCTAATTTTTAAGCCAAAAATCTATTTCCAGATTAGCCTATGGTTGACCTCAAGTGTTGCTTACATAGCTCACATTCTCAAACCCAAAAGGAATTTCACCCATTTTAAATTTGCATGATGCTCATCAAATATCAAGGTCAGATTAACCAAAAAGATGTTTGGTATAGACAGAACTTTTCACTGAAAACCATATATGCAAAAAATACAATTATTATCTTGGAGAAGGGTCTGTTTCAACTGAATTGAACATGACAAGTCAGTGAAATATATTTTTTTCCAAATATTGAGACCAAATAACTAATTAGTTGCCTCTGCAGTTAATTTTTCATCAGTTTTGTAGGAATATTTTCTTCATGAAGCTTTCCTTATTTTTCTCTGATGGATGTAATGTCTCTCCCTTTATCTGTGTACCTTTTATAGCACTGATTACTCTCTAGCTGGTTTTTCTATTCATACCTTGTTGATGTATGTTAATAGACCCAAAATCTGAGCAAACATACACATCTAACTTATCTTGGTATTTCCTGTACTCCAGCATATAATGCAGTGCCACAAATATAGAAAGAATACAACAAATATTTTAAAAGAAGTGCACACACGCTATATAACTATCCACTGGACTCCCATGTGTAATGCCTTACAGAAAAGAAGTTCATGTCTAGACGATAATACAGAAGAGGATACCACTTCTGTACCTTGTATAACAAAGTAGCTACAATGGAAATGCTCCTGGATACTTTCCCAATAACTAAATCCTTTTGAGTGATGCCAGAGGACAGCTCTCAAGTTAACTTCAGCAGAACTGTATCTAGAACAAATGCCCAAGCACTAGTATTTTAGAAGTACATGGATTTAATCACTTTATTAAATACTGTGCTTAAAACTTTCCATGGTATTTCTTCATCTACATCATGCAGTGACATTTGAAAGCCAGAATATTATATTTTTTAAACGTTAGCTATTTCTATCACACTGTAGCCTCAAATCTAAAAGCAATAAATTATTGGGAACAAACTTTAAAATGTTTTTAACTTCCATTTGAAGTCTAGGTAGAGATCTAGCAACTTCTTCCTCATTTATTTAATTCACTATACTTCTAATAATCATTTATTTTAAGAAATAATCTGAGGACAAAATATCAGATTTTACCTAATCTAAGATATGCAATTATTTCATGTCACACCATTACTTATTACACCATTAAGACATAAAAACATTGCCAATTAATTGTAAGATAGCAAAAATTTTAAGAAGTATTTTAATTTTTGAAATGTTAAAAATGTGAAATAAAAAGTTCATCTTAGAGTCAATGAAATTAATTACTTGACAGAGAACATGGAAGATGCAACAAATATATTATGGAAATGTAACACAAGGAAAATGAAAGGAATTCTAAAGCAGAAGATTTCTTTTATGATATTCACTTATTGTTCTCAATATCAACTGCTTATATAGTTATATACTTTTAAAAGTATAAAGCATATTCCGACTTTTAGTAATTTACATTGACTATTATGTAAATCTAATGGTTGAAATAATACAGTATTTTATATGCCTAGCAGCTGGTAACCCCAGCTCCCTCCAGAGAGAGAACTAGGAAATGGAATACAGCATAAGAAATGGAATTTTTACTGTGTCATTTAGTACCTTTTGAACTGAGTACCATGCACATGCATTAATTATGCAAATACTTTGAAAAAAACATTAAAGCAGCCTCTATAACTAAAAAATTAGGGTAGGAGGGGATGAAGCAAGACAAATAGAAGGCTCCACCAATCGTCCACCCGCCCAGGAAGAACACCAAGATAACAACTATCTCCAAACAAAAACCACCATCATAAGAACCAAAAAGCAGGTGAGCACTTATAGTACCATGTTTTAACTTCATGTTACTAAAAGAGGCACTGGAGAGGTAGGAAAAGCAGTCTTGAATTGCTGACACCACCCCTCCCCCATCCCCAAGCAGTGGCTGCATGGTGTGGAGAGAGAATCTGTGCACTTGGAAGTGGGAGCACACAGAAATTGTGAGACAACGTATATTGAACTCAGTGCTGCCTGGTCACAGTAGAAAGCAAAACCAGACTAAGCTCAGCTGATGCCCACCCACACAGGGAGTATTTAAACCAGCCCTAGCCAGAAAGGAATTGTCCTCCCAGTGGTTGGAATTTGAGTTCCTGCAAGCCTTATCATCGCAGGCTAAAGTACTCTGGGACTCTAAATAAACTTGAAAGGCATTGTAGGCCACAAGAACTACAACTCCTAATTGAGTCCTAGTGCTGAATCAGGCTCTGAGTCAGTAGACTTAAAGGGCACAGGACCTCCTGAGACACGAGCCAGGGTAGCTAAGGGAGTGCTTGTTCCACCTCTCCAGCAACCCCAGGCTGCACAGGTCATGACTCCGAAAGAGACTTCCTCCTTCTTCTTGAGTAGAGAAGAGGGAAGAGAAAAAAGGACTTTGTCTTTCACCTGTATACCAGCTCAGCCACAGCAGGATAGGGTACCAGTGAGAGTTGTGAGGCCCACTTTCCAGGTTCTACTTGTGGATGACATTTCTAGACATATTCTGGGCCAGAAGAGAACCTACAGGCTTGAAGGGAAGGAGCCAGTCCTGGCAAGATCATCAACTGCTAAATAAAGAGCCCTTGGGTCCTGAATAACCAATAATGATAACCAGAAAGTACACCATGGGCCTTGAGTAAGACTCTGTTATTAGCTGTCTTCAGGTGAGACTAAGCACATTCTCAGCTATGGTGTTATGAGGAGAATCTCTGCTTGAGAAATGCAGAAAGAAAAGTAAAGAGCACTTTGTCTATAGGGAACTTTGTCTTGCACATTAGGTATTCGTTCAGCCACATAGAAACAGAGCACCAAGCAGGCTATTGGGGTCACCAATTACAGGCCTTGGCTCTTGGATGGCATCCTTCGACCTGCCCTTGGGACAGAGGGAAGACCACTGCCCTGAAGGGTGAGTAGCAGGCCAGGCAGCATTAGCTACAAGCTGACTTAAGAGCCCTCAGGCCTTAAGAGAGCATGGCAGTAACCTGGCAATACTCCATGTGGGCCTGTGGTATTGGTGGCCACCGGGTGAGGCTCCTCTGCCTGTGGAAAGGGGAGGGAAGAGCAGAAGGGACTGCGTGTTGTTGTTTGAGTATGAGGTGTGAGCTCAGCCACAGTACAATAGAAAACCATGTAGACATCTAAGGTTTTTGACTGTAGTCCCTGGCTCCTGGATGGCACCTCTGGACCTGCCCAGGGCCTGGGGGTACTTGCCAGAACACAAGCCTAGCTGGCTTTGCCAGCTGATGATTGTAGAGCCCCAGGGCCTTGCACGAACATAGGTGGCAGCCAGGTAGTAATTACAGTGGGCTTTAGGCAAGATCAAGTGCTGTGCTGGCTACAGGACTGACCCAGCACAGACACAGTGGTGCTTGTGTCACTCCACTCCCAGCTCCAGATGGCCCAGAACAGAGAAACTGTTTGGAGAAAGTAAGGAAGGAGAACAAGAGTCTTTGCTTGGTAATCCCGAGAATACTTCTGGATCTTATCCAAGACCATCAAGGAGGTACTTCTACAAGTCTTCAGGAACCACAGAATTACTGGACTTGGATTGGGGTGCCATATGTAAATATGGCTTAGGTAACAACACCCAAGTCCTTTCAAATAACTGAAAAGTCCTCCCAAGAAGCATGAGTATAAACAAGCCTAGACTGTGAAGACTATAGTAAATACTTAACTGTTCAATGCCCAGACACAAGCAAACATCCACAGGCATCAAGATCATTCAGGAAAACATAATCTCACCAAATCAACTAAATACAGCACCAGGGACCAATCCTGGAGAAACAGAGAGATATGACCTTTCAGACAGAGAATCAAAAATAGCTGTCTTGAGGAAACTCAAAGAATTTCAAGATAATACAAAGAAGGAATTCAGAATTCTATCAGATAAACTGAACAAAGAGATTAAAATAATTTAAAAGAATCAAGCAGAATTTCTGGAGTTGAAAAATGCAATTGGCATACTGAAGAATGCATCAGAGTCTTTTAATAGCAGAATTGATCAAGCAGAAGAAAGAATAAATGAGTTTGCTGATAGGCTATTTGAAAATAGTCAGAGGAGACAAAAGAAAAAAGAATAAAAGACAATAAAGCATGCCTACAGATTCTAGAAAATAGCATCAAAAAGGCAAATCTAAGAGTTATTGGCCTTAAAGATGAGGTCGAGAAAGAGATAGAGGTAGAAAGTTTATTCAAAGAGATAATAACACAGAACTCCCCAAAGCTAGAGAAAGATAATATCTGAGTACAAGAAGGTTATAGAATACCAAGCAGATTTAACCTTAAGAATACTACCTCAATGTATTTAATAATCAAACTCCCAAAGATCATGGGTAAAGATTCTAAAAGTAGCAAGAGAAAAGAAACAAATAACATAAAATGGAGCTGTAATACATCTGTCATCAGACTTTTCAGTGCAAACCTCACAGACCAGAAGATAGTGGCATGACATACTTAAAGTGCTAAAGGAAAAAAAAAAACTTTTACTCCAGAAGAATATGTCTAGAGTAAAAAACTTTTACTCTAGAAAAATGTCCTTCGAACACGAAGGAGAAATAAACACTTTCCCAGACAAATAAAAGCTGAGAGATTTCATCACACCAGACCTATCCTACAAAAAAATGCTAAAGGGAGTACTTCAATCAGAAAGAAAAAGACAATAAAAAAGCAATAAGAAATCATCTGAAGCTATAAAACTCATTGGTAATAGTAAGTGCACCGAAAAACACAGATTATAACACTATAACTGTAGTGTGTAAACTAGTTATCTGAAGTAGAAAGATGATGAACCAATCAAAAATAGTAACTGACAACTTTTCAAGAGATAGACAATACATTAAGATATAAATGGAAACAACAAAAGGTTAAGAGTTGGAGGAAGCAGTACCATGCTGTTCTGGTTACTGCAGTCTTGTGGTATAGTTTGAAGTTAGGTAGCATGATGCCTCCAGTTTTGTTCTTTTTGCTTAGGATTGTCTTGGCTATTCAAGCTCTTTTTTGGTTTCATATAAATTTTTAAAGTTTTTTTTTTTTTAATTCTGTGAAGAATTCCAATGGTAGTTTAATGGGAATAGCATAAAATCTATAAATTACTTTGGGCAGTATGGCCATTTTCACGATATTGATTCTTCCTATCCATGAGCATGGAATGTTTTTCCATTTTTTTGTGTCCTCTCTGGTTTTCTTGAGTGGTGGTTTGTAGTTCTCCTTGAAGAGGTCCTTCACTTCCCTTGTTAGCTGTATTCCTAGGTATTTTATTCTCATTGTGACAACTGTGAATGGGAATTCATTTATGACTTGGCTGTCTGCTTGCCTGTTGCGGGTGTATACAAATGCCTGTGATTTCTGAACATTGATTTTGTATTCTGAGACTGCTGAAGTTGCTTACCAACTTAAGAATCTTTTGGGCTTAGACAATGGAGTTTTCTAGATAAAGTATGGAGAAAATTTTTGCAATCTGTCCGTCTGACAAATGTCTAATATTCAGATTCTATAAGAAACTTAATCAAATTTAGAAGAAAAAACAAACAACCCCATTAAAAGGTGGGCAACGGACATGAACAGACATTTTTCAAAAGAAGACATTCACACAGCCAACAAACATATGAAAAAAAAGCTCTTTGGGAGGCCAAGGCGGGTGGATCACGAGGTCAGGAGATCAAGACCATCCTCGCTAACACGGTGAAACCCCGTCTCTACTAAAAACAGAAAAAAATTAGCTGGGTGTGGTGGCAGGCGCCTGTAGTCCCAGCTACTCAGGAGGCTGAGGCCGGAGAATGGCATGAACCCGGGAGGCAGAGCTTGCAGTGAGCCAAGATTGCGCCACTGCACTGCAGCCTGGGCAACAGAGCGAGACTCCGTCTCAAAAAAAAAAAAAAAAAAAAAAAAAGCTCAACATCACTGATCATTAAAGAAATGCAAATCAAAACCACAATGAGATACCATTTCATGCCAGTCAGAATGGTGATTATTAGAAAGTCAAGAAACAACATGTTGGCAAGGTTGCAGAGAAATAGGAACGCTTTCACACTGTTGGTGGGAATGTAAATTAGTTCAACCATTGTAGAAGACAGTGTAGCAATTCCTCAAAGATCTAGAACCAGAAAAACCATTTGACCCAGCAATCCCATTACTGAGTATATACCCAAATGAATATAAATAATTCTATTATAAAGATACATGTACACATATGTTTACTGCAGCACTATTCACAATAGAAAAGACATGGAATAAAGCCAAATGCCCATCAGTGATAGACTGGATAAAGAAAATATGGTACCTATACACTATGCAATACTATGCAGCCATAAAAAGGAATGAGATCATGTTTTTTGCAGGGACATGCATGGAGCTGGAATCCATTATCCTTAGCAAACTAACGCAGGAGTAGAAAACCAAACACCACATGTTCTCACCTATAAATGGGAGCTGAACAATGAGGACACACGGACACAGGGAGAAGAAAGGGGAACAATACATATGGGGGCCTGTCAAGGGGTGAGGTGGAGGGAGGGAGAGCATTAGGAAAAATAGTTAATGCATGTTGGGCTTAATAACTAGGTGATGCAATGATAGATGCACCAAACCTCCATGGCACACATTTACCTGTGTAACAAACCTGCACATCCTGCACAATTTACCTATGTAACAAACCTGTACATCCTGCACATGTGCCCCAGAACTTAAAATGAAAATAACAAAATAAAATTTAAAAATAAAGAGGTTAAGGTGTAGAGTTTTTATTAGTTTTCTTTTTGTTTGTTTGTTTATGCAAGCAGTATTAAGTTCTTATCAGCTTAAAGGGTTATAAGACAGTATTTGCAAGGCTTATGGTAACCTCAAATCAAAAAAAACATACAACGGATACACAAAAATGAAAAGCATAAAATTAAATCAAATGACCAGAAAAAAATCACCTTCACTGAAAGTAATACAGAAAGAAAAGAAGAAAGAGACCATAAAACAAACAGAAAACAAGTGACAAAATGACGGGAGTAAGTCCTTACTTATTAATAATAACATTGAACATAAATGGACAAAACTCTCCAATTAAAAGACATAGAGTGGCTGAATGGATTTTAAAGAACAAGATCTAATGATCCGTTGCCTACAAGAAACACACTTCACCTATACACAGACTGAAAGTAAAGGGGTGGAGAAAGATATTCCATACCAATGGAAACAAAAAAGAGCAAAAGTGGCTATACCTATCCTATATCAGCCAAAGTAGATTTCAAGACAAAAATCATAAGGAGAGACAAAGAAAATCACTAGATAATGATAAAGGGGTCAATTCAGCACAATATTTAACAATTGCAAATATACATGTACCTAACACTGCAGCATCCTGACATATAAAGCAAATACTATTAGAACTAAAGAGAGAAATAGACTCCAATAAAATAATAGCTGGAGATTTCAACATACCACTTTTGGCATTGGACAGATCTTCCAGACAGAAAATCAACAAAGACACATTAAACTTAATCTGCACTACAGAACACATGGACCTACCAGATATTTAGAGTACATTTTATCCAACAGCTGAAGAATACACATTCTTTTCCACAGCACATGGATCATTCTCAAAGACAGACCATATGTTAGGTCACAAAACAAGTCTTAAAACATTCAAGAAAACTGAAATAACATCAAGCATCTTCCCCGAACACAATGGAATTAAACTAGAAATCAATAACCAGAGGGATTTGAGGAACTATACAGACATACAGAAATTTAAAAATATACTCCTGAATAATCAGTGAGTCAATGAAGACATTAGAAAGAAAATGGAAAAATTTATTGAAACAAATGATAATAGAAACACAACCTACCAAAACCTATGGGATACAGCAAAAGTAGAAGAAAGTTTATAGTTATACGTGCCTACATCAAAAAATAATAAAAACTTTAAATAGGCAAGCTAACAATGCATCTTTAAAAGTTAGAAAAGCAAGAGCAAACCAAACCCAAAATTAGTAGAAGAAAAGAAATAATAAATTTCAGAGCAAAAATAAGTTTGAAACGAAGAAAACAAAACAAAAGATCAAAAAGCACAAAGTTGGTTTTTTGAAAAGATAAAGAAAATGGACAAACTTTTAGCCAGGCTGAGGAAAAAAACAAAGACTCAAATAAATAAAATCAACAATGAAAAGGGAAACATTGTAACTAATACTGCAGAAATTCAAGAATCATTAGTGGCTACTATAAGCAACTATCTGCAATAAATTGGAAAATCCAGAAGAAACAGATAAATTCCTACATGCGTAAAACCTATTAAGATTGAACCATGAAGAAATCCAAAATCTGAATAGACCAATAACAAGTAAGGAGATGAAAGCCATAATAGAAAGAGTCTCCCAGCAGCCGGGCGCGGTGGCTCACGTCTGTAATCCCAGCACTTTGGGAGGCCGAGGTGGGCAGATCACGAGGTCAGGAGATCGAGACCATCCTGGCTAGTATGGTGAAACCTCGTCTCTACTAAAAAAAAATACAAAAAAATTAGCCGGGCATGGTGGCGGGTGCCTGTAGTCCCAGCTACTCAGGAGGCTGAGGCAGGAGAATGGCGTGAACCTGGGAGGCAGAGCTTGTAGTTAGCGGAGATTGCGCCACTGCACTCCAGCCTGGGCGACAGAGCAAGACTCCATCTCAAAAAAAAAAAAAAAAAGTCTCCCAGCTACGAAAAGTCCAGGACTCAGTAGCTTCACTGCTGAATTTCATCAAACATTTAAAGAAGAACTAATATCAATCCTACTCAAATGATTCAGAAAAATAAAGGAAGAGGGAATACTTCCAAAGTCATTATGCAAGGCCAGTATTACCCTGATACCAAAATCAGACAAAGACACATTAAAAAAAAGAAAACTATAGGCCAATATCACTTATGAATATTGATCCAAAAATTCTCAACAAAATACCAGCAAACTGAATTCAACAGTACATTATGATGATCATTCATCATGACCAAGTGGGATTTATCCCATGAATGCAAGGATGGTACCACATATGCAAATCAAACAATGGGATGCATCATACCAACAGAATGAAGAACAAAAACCAGATAATCATTTCAATTGATGTTGAAAAAACATTTGATAAAATTCAACATCCCTTCATCACAAAAACTCTCAAAAACCTGGATATAGAAGAAACATACCTCAACATAATAAAAGCCATATACATCAGATCTATAAATAGTATAATACTGAATGGGGAAAAACTGAAAGCTTCTTCTCTAAGATTAGGAACATGACAAGGATGCTCATTTTCATGACTGTTATTCAACACAGTACTAGAAGTCCTAGCTGGAGCAGTCAGACCAGAGAAAGAAACAAGGGCATCCAAATTGGAAAGGAAGAAGTCAAATTATCCCTGTTTGCAGATGATATGATCTTAAATTTGGAAAAACCTAAAGACTTCCCCCCAAAACTATTAGAACTGATAAACAAATTAGGTAAAGTTGCAGGACATGGCCAGGCGCGGTGGCTCATGCCTGTAATCCTAGCACTTTGTCAGGCCAAGGTGGGCGGATCACGAAGTCAGGAGATCGAGACCATCCTGGCTAACGCAGTGAAACCCCGTCTCTACTAAAAATACAAAAAATTAGCCTGGTGCGGTGGCGGGTGCCTGTAGTCCCAGCCACTCAGGAGGCTGAGGCAGGAGAATGGCGTGAACCCAGGAGGCGGAGCTTGCAGTGAGCAGAGATCATGCCACTGCACTCCAGCCTGGGTGACAGAGCGAGACTCCATCACAAAAAAAAAAAAAAAAAAAAAAAAAAGTTGCAGGACACAAAATCAACATACAAAAACCAGTAGCATTTCTGTATGCCAAAAGCAATCATCTGAAGAACAAATCTTGAAAGTAATTCCATTTACAATAACCACAAATAAAATAAAATACCTAGGAATTAACTTAAAGAAGTGAAAGATCTCTACAATGAAAACTATAAAACACAGAATGCAAGAAAGAAAAGAAGACACAAAAAAGAGAAAGATATCCCATGTTCATGGATTAGAAGAATTAATATTGTTAAAATGTCCATACCAACCAAAGCAATCTATACATTTAATGTAATCCTTATCAAAATATCAACGACATTCTTCATAGAAATAGAAAAAAAAAATCCTAAAATTTAAATAGAACCAGAAAAGACCCAGAATAGCCAAAGTTATCCTAAACAAAAAGAACAAAACTGGAAGAATCGTATTACCTGACTTTATGTTACAGAACTACAGTAACATGGTACTGGCATAAAAAGAGACACATGGATCAGTGAAAGAGAATAGAGAACACAGAGATTAATCCGTACATCTATAGTGAATTCATTTTTGACTAAAGTGCCAAGAAGATATTCTGGGGAAACGACAGCCTCTTCAATAAATGGTGGGGGTCAAACTGGATATCCATATGCAAAAAAAAAAAAAAAAGAAAGAAACTGTACTCCTATCTCTCACCATATATAAAAATCAAATCAAAATGAATTAAAAATTAAATCTAAGACCTCAAACTATGAAATTACTAAAAGAAAACATTGAGAAAACTCTCCAGGACACTGGATTGAGCAAAGATCGTTTGAGTAATACCCCACAAGCTCAGGCAATCAAACCAAAAATGGACAAATTGGATTACATCAAACTGAAAAGCTTCTGAACAGCCAAGTAAACAATCAACAAAGTGAAAAGACAACCCACAGAATGGGAAAAAACATTTGCAAACTATCCATCTGACAAGTGGTTAATAATCAGAATATATAAGGAGCTCAAACGACTCTATAGGAAAAGAATCTTATGATCTGAATTGAAAATAGACAGAAGATCTGAATAAACATGTCTCAAAAGAAGACATAAAGACTGCAAACAGGTATATGAAATGGTGCTCAACATCATTGATCATCAGAAAAATGCAAATCAAAACAACAATGAGATATCATCTCACCCCAATTAAAATGGCTTATATCCAAAAGACAGGCAATAACAAATATTGGCAAGGATATAGAGAAAAGGAAACCCTCCCGCACTCTGGGTGGGAATGTAAATTAGTACAACCACTATAAACAGCCTGGAGGTTCCTCAATAAACTAAAAATAGAGCTACCATACTATCCAACAATTCCACTCCTAGGTATACACCAAAGAGAAAGGAATTCAGTATATTGAAGAGGTATCTGCCTTTCCATGTGGATTACAGCATTATTCACAATAGCCAAGATTTGGAATCAATCTAAGTGGCCATCACCAGATGAACAGATAAAGAAAATGTGATACATATACACATAGAGTACTATTCAGCTATAAAATAATGAGTTCTTGTGATTTGCAACAACATAAATGGAACTGGAGGTCATTATGTTAAATGAAATAAGCCAGGCACAGAAAGACAAACTTCACATGTCCTCATTTATTTGTGGGCACTAAAAATTAAAATAAGTAGAAGGGCGGTTACCAGAGGCTGGGAAAGGTAGTGGGGAGATGAGAAGAAAGTGCAGATGGTTAATGGGTTCAAAAATATAGTTAGTATAAAACCTAGTATTTGACAGTGCAACAGGGTGACTACAGTAAAAAATAATTGTACATTTTAAAATAACTCAAGGAGTATAATTAAATTGTTTTTAACACAAAGAATAAATGCTTGAGGTGATGAATACCCCATTTACCCTGATATGATTATTACACATTACATGCCTGTATCAAAACATCTCCTGTAACCCATAAATATGTATATCTACTATGTACCCACAAAAATTAAAAATAAAATCTGGCTAGCACAACTAAAAAAAAATGGAGGAACAGAATATAATATGTAAAGAGTCTGATTTTTCTTATCCACTGGATTAGGAGAAGAACAGTAAACAAGATTTATGAGCTTAGACTCATTGCAGGCCTCTCCTTAAATAAATGTCGCTGAGGATCCATAATGTGTACTTCAGAAAGGAAAATATTTTTCTTTTAAGAAATGACATCCACCTTGAGTTTTCCAAGAACATCCACCTCTTTCCATGTGAAATGTTTGTCACCCCCTTTCACTGAAGATATTACTGGGCTTCTACAGGAGAGGTAGAATTTATCATTCAGCACAAGATATATACTTTGGGTTTCTAAGAAAGTATTTGGATTCTAACAAGCTCTGCTTTTTTTTTTTTTTTTGAGATGGAGTCTCGCTCTGTTGCCCAGGCTGGAGTGCAGTGGCACGATCTCGGCTCACTGCAAGCTCTGCCTCCCGGGTTCATGCCATTCTCCTGCCTCAGCCTCCCGAGTAGCTGGGACTACAGGCGCCCGCCACTGCGCCCGGCTAATTTTCTGTATTTTTAATAGAAACGGGGTTTCACCATACTAGCCAGGATGGTCTCGATCTCCTGACCTCATGATCCGCCCGCCTCGGCCTCTCAAAGTGCTAGGATTACAGGCATGAGCCACTACGCCTGGCCAACAAGCTCTGATTTTTTAAAATAAGCCCATGTATCAATGTACAAATAAGGGTTTTCTCAGACATTACTGGATGTCTAAATGCCTAAAGTGGTCCTCAAGGGTAACACGTACACATTTAAGAGTAATATCCTGTTTGTATACCCAACCTGGAGCCTGAGAGATGCCACAAAGGCCCCAGCTGACTAAGACCTTTATCCATCCAGCAGTTACCTACTGTGGTGAAGCTTAGATCTCAGATAAATGAAGGTTTAAGATGAATTTTTACTTCTGAGTTTTTCTCCAACTGCCTCTAGCTGACTGGCATACTCTACTTTGGAACGTTTTCAGATTTGAACCATAGGTGGGTGTGGTGGATAAAGATGAGCGAGCTGACAGATTTGTGTGGGAAAGCACATGCTATCTGTCAAGACTATCTTTATAAAATGGAAAAAGGCACTTTATAAATGAGAAAATCTGGCTCAAAAAGTATATGGATTAAACATATAAATCTCTTACTGGTTTTGTTTCTCTGGAGAACCTTGACTAATACAGATGTCTGTTAGATGTTAGGTTCTGAAATGTAGTACTTGCTTGTTTGAATATGAGTAAGATTCCAGAACTCCATGCTGATCTGTTATCTCATTAAAATGACCCTGAAGTACAGTAGTCCTTGTCCTTTCCATCACTGGCATTTATGAAGCATATGCTGGGGGTAAAGTCCTATCCCAGCCTTTACAGGAAAGAAAAGCATAATTCCTACGTTTGTAGAACTTATACTCTATATCATTTCCCTCAAATATATGATCCCACTATGCAGGGTTTTGTCATGGCTAAACCGCTTAGTCCAAATTATTCACTAGGAATATAAAAAGTGGTTGGAGACCTCAAAGATATTTATCTCAATATTTTCCTTCTCTTCTTATATTACCTGAGGACTTTCATCTTCTGCACACCTTTTTATTTTGTTTTGTTAGAACTGAAAAGTGCTTTTATCTGGACATCAAAGATACCACTTCACCTAGAACAGGTTATAGCTAAATCATAACATCTCTTTGAAGATCCTTCAGTAGTGATCAGAGATCAAAAATAAAGTGTAATGGACTTTGATACTTAAACAGCAAAACATTTTAAGGGTCAAGGATTTTTCAACACTGATATTACACACACTAAGAATTTGGATGTGTATGTTTTGTGCAGAAGAGAAGGGAGTAATACCCATCAATTATTAGAAAGTTAGTCCATTGTGCAACTCTTGACTGCTGTATCTTCCAATCCAATCATTTGTTTAATTGATGTTAGTTACATTTTTAGGGTGCTTAAATGATTCAAGTATATATTTGTTAACTTCCAAGTGGACCACTTGTCTGGTTTGAGTTTTGGTGGAACAATTTTAAACATATTATCTATTATAATGAGGACAGAGCAACAATATAATCACAATCTAATGTCTGCTGTTAACTAACTGACCTTAGCTGCCACCTGAGTCTCCACGCCTTTTCTCCTAAAGACTCTTCTTCCTGGAATCGCTAGCCACAACCTTCACCTGGCAGTCTCCTTGTTGTTGAGACATCAGCTCAAATGTTGCCAATTTAGCAAGACTTTCTCTAGCCAATCTAAGTATTCTCCATCCCCACACAAAGATGCTTTATGAAATCAGTGTCTTGTTTTACTCCTAACACTCATTACTACCTGATTCTTTTTCATTTTATTTATTTGTTGTGTTCTTTTTAAGGAAATGAAAACCTTATGAGTACAGAAATTGTGCCTTATTGACTGGTGTATTCCAAGGGTTTGAAATAGTACTTGGAACACAGTAAATGCACAATCAGGGTATAAATGAATGAAATCATATACATAAACTATATGTTTTGAAATTAGTGTTTACAACTTATCAGGTCTGAAAAAGCCAATTCAATTCACTCATTTTTCATTGACCTAATTTGTACATATCAAATGTCTAATTATCCAACAAGACCTTCTTCAACTTCTCTTCAAATTACTCCAAAACTGCAAGCATCCTTATAAAAATCTAACACAAAGCTATGAAGAAAGATAACATATTAAACTTTCTTTCGTGCCTCTTTGTTTTTTAAAAAAAATTTCAGTAAAGAACAGAGCTGACCTATGCAATAAATTGGTTTTTTGTTTTGCTTTAAATTTATACTATGTGCTAGAGCTATGGGGGGAGAAAAGGGAGGGAGAAGATACTCAGATGAAACTAACAGAATCTCTCACCACCAGGCCTGCACTGTTGAATAAGAGGGTCAACAGAGAAACCAGTTACCTCTACATTTAATGACATCAGAGGTAAACTGAAGACATCAGCTGCAGACAATTTCTGTGTTCCTCCCACTTATTGATTAGTATCAATAATGGTGAAAGTACAACAGTTATATCTGAGGGCTACTTGTGTTTAACTTGGCTCATATTAAAGAAATGAAGGCGAGTCATAAATAACAGCCACAGTGAAGTAAAAGAACAATCAGAAAACCATGCATGCATTTATTTTTAACTTTCATGTACCTAATGGTCTGTTTAAAGAAAAACTCTACCTCAATGAAAAACACAGGTCCACAAACATTCCCAAATATAATTTCCAAAATCAGTTTTTTTAGACGTATAAACACCCCCTGTGTGCACACATATGCATCTTCTTATATGTAATGACAGACTTGATCCTCTAGAACTTTGAAATTTTGATATTGGTGTGTCATTATTTTATTGCACTTTGACAAGCTGAAGCAGGTAAATTCTGGGATCATGCTATACTACATCTGCAAGGTACATTTTCATACATGGAAGTGACTGTTCAAACTTTTGGTTAATATACAGTATGTGAAGCATCTAAGAAGGCTTTTTTTTCAATTAATGGCAAATCCTTTTAATAAACTCAATGTGCCCAACTCATTTAATTTTTGAAAATACCTCTAGTGAGAAAAAATATGTAATATAAAAGCAAATCTATTTTCCCTACTTTAGAAATCAACGGAAACCACAAATTTTAAAATAACCACATTTTATTATGTCCGATTTTTCTTTAACGATTCCCTTGAGCTCTCCGTGTTACTGAAGGAAGTCAAAGCAGCAGGTTGAGCTACCTTTTTAGGAGTGATTTTTCATGAGAGAGCAATGCAAGAAAGAACATCATCCTTTTTGGTGATTTCAGAAATATAGCAGGCAAATTCCTCATCTAGCCTTCAATAAATACTAATGCCATTTGGATGACAAATAAAATATTCTTGAAGGGTCCGTGACCAGAGAAACCAGCATTAGATCTAAAAAGTGGTTTTTCCCATTGATATCTAGCCATCAAATGAAAAAAAAAAAGTTTTTACTCATTCATCTGTTCATTCCACCAGTATTTTGGGGGTATATATTGAATGACAAGCAGAAAGTGCTCTTCAGTGGGATACTCAGGGTTGACCTTCTACAACTAAGGCACAGGGATACTGACACAGGACAGACCTGCAACAGTGCCAGGGCAGATTCTGGGGGCTCCTTAGTCCTTCTGCTGTTGGACCATGAGGAAATCTGGGGAGCCCTGGGCAGGTTCAGGGCAGTGGAGGTGGTGGTGCAGTCTTGGGCAACTTGGAAGAGCATCTATTTGCCAAGGAGAGAGGAAGTACTTCAACGTTCTAACAACCCATCGAGTCATTAAGGAGCACAGAGGAGGTGGACTGACCCCAGATTGCGGGCTTGTGAATGCAGGGGTCAGTGTCCAGGAAAAAGAACCGGGGAAGGAAGCTCCTGAAACATCCAACGAGAGTGAGTGGTCAGCAGATGACTCCAACCCGTACTGTAAATATCCTTCAACTTTTTACCTTTAAAGTCAAATGTGACCTCCAAAAACCTCAAATTGAAAATAACCCAGACTGGGCCTAGAAGCAGATGTGTATGATTTAAGTGCAAAGATGGAGGCATAATGTCTAAGGGGAACTGGAGCCATAAAGTGCTGGTGCAATCTGAATGGGAGGCAGGGAGGAGAGAAAGACAAGGCTGGAGAGCTGGGCAGCGACCAGATGGTAGGTGTTCTTCTGCACCTTGTTACAGAGGGCTTAGGCTCCATCAAGTTATACTAGAAAGCCATGCGAGGGCTTAAAACAGGAAAACGACTTGCCTAGATAAGTATTTTTGACAGTTCACTCTGGCTCCTATGAAGGGGTTGGCTTGAGGAGCAAAATGCTAAAGGCTGGAAGGCTAAACAGGAAAAAGTATAGTCAATAGTGAATACCCTGCACTTGTCTAAAGCTCCATGGCAAGGTACACGACCATGATCAAAGCCAGTTATGGTGGCCCAAACCACAAGAAGAGATGAGAACTTTGGAAAATAATCTAGCAGTTCTTCAAAGTATTCTTCAATGGCTAGATATAGAATTACCATATGACCGAGCAATTATATGTGCAAGAGAAATAAAAACATATGTACACACAAAACTGTACATAAACATTCATGTTAGCATTATGTATAACAGCCAAAAAGTGGAACAACTTAAATGCCCATCAACTGATGAATGGGTAAGTAGAATGTGGTATACATGTACAAGGGAATATTATTTAGTCTTAAAGAAATGAAGTACTGATACATGCTACAACATGGATGAACCTTAAAAATATAATGCTAAGTGAAAGAAGCCAGTCACAAAGGGCCACGTATTGTATGATTCCATTTGTATGAAATATTCAGAATAGGCAAATCTATGTAGACAGAAAGTGGATTAGTGGTTGCTTAGGACTGGGGAAGGGGAGGAAGGATGGAGAGACTAGGGAGTGATAACTAAGGGGCACAGGATTTCTTCTTGGGTGAATGAAAACATTCTAAAGCGGGTTGTGCGATCAATGCACGACTCTGTGAATATACTAAAAGGCAAGAATTACATACTTCCAACAAATGAATTGTACAGTATGTGAATTATATCTCAACAAAGCTGTTTACAAAAAAGTGTGGACGAGAGCCCTTTCAACAATAACAATGTAAAGTGGCCCTAAGTGGCAACCTGGGGAACACCAACATTTAAGCAGCAAGAGGAATAAGAAACGCCCCAAAAGAGACAAAGAAAAAAATAACTGGAAAAGTTTGGGAATGGAGAGAGCTAAAGGAGCAAAGGATGCCTAAATATATAATTGCTCAGGTTTAATTGGGAAAATGAAATTAGATCCATGCTTATGAAACAGTAAGGAAACCAAAGTATCCAGTGTCTTCAAAAGATCAAAGAAAGACTCTTTACTAAACTTCATGCAAGGTTAAAGTGAATACTAGCTCAAGAACATCTCACAGAAGAGGGATAGCACTGGGGGCAAAAATCAAGTTATTGTATTTTTATTTTTCAGTGCTTCTTTATCTGAAGCAAGTTTTATCAATTTTGTCAAGTGCACGGGATAAATGTAACTCAGAAAACTATCTGACTGAAGTGTGTTCTCCTAGATGGTTCATCACGCTTGGTCTTCATTTAGCCTCTGTCAAGAGTAGTTACCTAACCTGCCAAATAAAGGGCACATAGCAGAGCATGGCTCCACAGTATTTTTGTGAGTATGTTGGTTAATTTTCTGTGTCAACTTGACAGGGCTAACGGATGCCCAAACAGATGGTAAAACATTACTTCTGAGTATGTCTGTGAGTACATTTCTAGAAGAGATTAGCACTTAAATCAGTAAACTGAGTAGAGAAGATCAATGTAGACAGATTTATTCAATCCTTGAGGGCTCAGAGAGAACAAAAAGGCAGAGGATGGGCACATTTTCTTTTTTTTTTGAGACAAAGTCTCGCTCTGTCACCCAGGCTGGAGTGCAGTGGCGCAATCTTGGCTCACTGCAACCTCCGCCTTCTGGGTTCGAGCAATTCTCCCTGCCCCAGTCTCCCGAGTAGCTGGGATTACAGGCACCTGCCACCATGCCTGGCTAATTTTTGTCTTTTTAATAGAGACAGGGTTTCGCTGTGTTGGCCAGACTGGTCTCGAACTCCTGACCTCAGGCGATCCACCTGCCTTGGCCTCCCAGAGTACTGGGATTACTGGCATGAGCCACCCTGCCCAGCCAGAGGATGGGCAAATTTTTTGTCTCTCTCCTTGAATTGGAACATCCATCTTCTCCTGTCCTTGGACATCAGTGCTTCTGCTTTTCAGACCTTTGGACTCCAGGATTTACACCAGTATCACCCCCTGTCCCCCAGCTTCTCGGACCTTAGAAATAGGGCTGAATTATACCACTGACTTTCCTGGCTCTCTGGCTTGCAGACAACTTCTCAGCTTCCATAATGAGGAACCAATTCCCATAATAAACTCCTCTTATCTATCTATGTAAATCCTATTGATTCTGTTGAAGAAGCCTGATTAATACAGTAAGAAAAACGTGTCTCCTATCTCCTACCTCCTGGAATCTTTGAGGTAAATGAGGTGGGATGGGTTTCTGACAGTAAGTTCATAAGCAAAGCACTGGTGCTTCGTTTCCACTGACAAGAGACATAAAATGGGGAGTGAGAGAGACAGGTAGCAGCAACAACTGGCTTGTATGTATGCTAGGGTAAAGTTTTAAATTATTTTGATAGCTAACAACCAATAAGATATGGATTCCAGACCCAGCTTATTTTTCAGTGTATTAGTTTGCTAAGGCTGCTGTAACAAAATGTCACAGTGTGGGTGGCTTAAACAGAGATGCATTTTCTCACAGTCCTGGGAGCTAGAAGTCCAAGATCAAAGTGTTGGCAGGGTTGGTTTCTTCTGAGGCCTCTCTTCTTGGCTTGTCGATGGCTGTCTTCTCCCTGTGTCCCTCTGTGTGTCTGTGGCCAAATTTCCTCCTCTTAGAAGGACCCCAATCATACGGGATTATCACCTACCCTAATGACTTCATTTCAGTTTAATTACCTTTTCAAAGGTCTTATTTTCAAATACAGTCACATTCTGAAGTGCTGGGGGTTAGGACTTCAACATATGAATTTTTGAGAATGGGGACACAATTGGCTAGGTGCAAGGAATTAGAATTTCAGGGTAAGAATTATTCAATCAATAAATTATTTTAACTGCCTTTACATTTGTTTGAGGAAAATTCCGGGACACGTTTTGGTTTTGTTTTGTTTTAACAAAGTTAATCTAACCCATGCTTAAAAATTAGGTGGTTCACAGTATTCAATCCATTCTGAGAACTGCTAGTGGCCAATGTCGCTGTCCATCATTTCCCTTTGCCCCACTGAAATACTCTCAGGCTCTTTGGTGGTAACAGAGCAACAAATAGAGTGCTTTTCCAGATCTCAATGTTGTCAGAGTTGCCTTTGACAACAAGGAAGGAAACATTGCCTTTCTTGCACTACTTGTGCCTAACTCTCAACTCTGAGGCACTGCAAGCAGGAGCAAGAGAGAAACATCAAGGCTGAGCATGGGAGAAACACATTTGTTAATTGTGTTTCAGGCTGAGCCCCTGAAAATGTGAAGCAAGGAGACTGGGCTTGATTTTAATAGACCTGATTCTGTTCATGTGGCTAGATTTTGTTGCTGAGGACTTTTCCCTTACTCACTGGATCAAAAGATTGTGAGAGTTAATAATATAACACAAGAGTTAAAACTATTTAGTGTACAAGGCTGAGATCATAAATGAAAAGGATGGGCCAGGTTTTGGTTTTATGATATTAGGTGCATAAGTCTGGTACATTTCTTATCATCTTTGCTCTGATCTATTTTTTTTTCTTTTTTGTCATCGTAGTTATACTTCTAACATAATTTATGATTTCTTTACTTATTTCATTTACTCTTTATCTCTCTATATGACACTAAAATGTAAATTCCTCTAGGACAGGGATCTCTGTCTGTTTTATTCCTTGATCCATCCCAAGCACCTAAAATAGAACTGTTCCCAGAGTAGTCATTCAATAAAGGCTGGTTGAATGAATGAATAAATATATCTCATTAAATCAAGCAAACTGATTTTTTAAAACATGCATTCCAAAATTCTAATTACTTAAGTGTGTTGTCCCTTGAAATTGTCACCTTGGGGACTCTAGGCTTATTCCAATTATGCTATTACTCAAAAATATTTAGACTCTTTAAAGCCCCAGTTTATGAGCCACACAAGAAATTAGTCTTATTACCTTATATAGTTTACTTTTCACTATAACCATCATTTTTCAATGTGATTATCTATTTTCTTTATTGAAATTTGTTCCAAATGGCTTTTAGCTCTTTTCTCAAGTCAAACCCATCCTGAAAGGATGAAGAGTTATGACAATTCCGTAGAGAATTAACAACAGCAAAAAATCTCTCATTACAGTCACCAGAATTGAAGGGAGCCCCAGTAACATTCTGTAACATCTCTTGCTTCTCAAGAGGAATTTGGCTAATCACATTTGACAGTGTTTTGTTTTGCCAGCACTTGCTGATTTAATTAATTTTTAAAATCAAGTGCCACTGGTATAGTTAGGACACTCAGCACAACAGGAGGCAAAGCCATGAAGAATCAGCAAAGTGACACTTCTTTGTATTTCACAGGGCTATCTTTTACAAACAACTATTTTTTTCCAATACAGAAATATTAAGTGCTAAATGGAGAAAACCTGGAAAATGCATAAAACAACAGAGAAGTATTCCGATAGAATTCCTATGTGCAGAAATGAGTGTGCGGAAGGCCGGATGGCTGCAGCTTCATCTCAGGCGCAGTTGCCTTCTTACAGATCCCTGACTCGTCGGCTCTGCAGTCCCGCGACCTCAGCACTTTGGCAAACCGCTCTATCCTCTGCCAGGTGTGCTGTCCCCCCACTGTCCCTCCTTTCACCTGGTAGCACTATCTCACCAAGGAGATCCCAGCTTACATCATTTCCTCGGGGCAGCCTTCTCTCACTATTGGGAAGAAGTCTCATGAGCTTTGGCTTTGTAGCATGTATCACTGTGCATGGTTACATATTGGGTGACTACTTGATTTATACTTGTCTCTTTACTAACCTATGTAAAATGAGGGCAGGGATCATGGATGTTTTGATCACCATAGTCCCTCAAGTTCCTAGTGCTGACCCCTCGCTCAATAAGTACATTCCTCCATGCTGCACTCACATCTCAAGTGCTAATCACTTGTTAGAACCAGGTTAGGAGCTAGATTGTGACCAAGCTCTTTCATTAACCTGAAGAACTCATAAAAAATCATCACACTTAAGTACCTGGTCCCTTTAAAGAAGTCCTGAGGTGATTTAAGATTTGATCATAAATACGTTCATTCTTAAGCTTTTTATGGGAGACAATATAAAAAATGCCCATTAGAAAAATATTGGTATAACTTTTGTAAAACCATACAGTAGCTTCCCTTTATCTACAGGGGATATGTTTCAAGACCCCCACTGGATACTTGAAACCATGGATAGCACTGAATGATACATATACATTATGTTCTTTCCTATACAAAGATATCTATCATAAAGTTTAATTTATAAATTAAGAGATTAGCAATAACTAATAATAAAATGGAGCTATAACAATATACTGTAATAAGGCCGGGTGCAGTGGCTCATGCCTGTAATCCCAGTACTTTGGGAGGCCGAGGTCAGGAGTTTGAGACCAGCCTGGCCAACATGGCAAAACCCCGTCTCTACTAAAAATACAAAAAATTAGCCGGGTGTGGCGGCACATGCCTGTAGTCCCAGCTACTTGGGAGGCTGAGGCAGAAGAATCACTTCAACCTGGGAGGTGAAGGTTGCAGTGAGCCGAGATCGTGCCATTGCACTCCAGCCTGGGTAACAGAGCAAGATTCCATCTCAAAAAATAAATAAATAAAATAAAACAATACACTGTAATAAACATTGTATGAATGTAGCCTCTCTTAAAATATCTTACTGTACTGTACTCACGTATTTTTGAGCTCTGGTTAACCATGGGTGACTGAAACTGGAAAGTGAAGCCACAGATAAGCAGGGACCACTCTCATAAAAAACCTATTGTCTGCAATTAAGGTCCATGTAGTAAGTTTCTTCTACGGAAAGAAAAAAGGTTTGTTCCTCAGAAGAATTTTTCTGCTTCCTACTTGAATAAGAACTGTAAAAACCCCAAATTTTCACTGTTTCTTGGCTATCAAGAAGGTTGGACCAAAGCTGACCTCCTTATCCTAATAATTAGTGCATGCTTGGCACGTACTTTTCATCTGTTTGTCTGATCTTCTGAATTGATTCTTGTTCTACTCTTTAATTACCTTGGATCTTCATGTTTTAATACCATAGGATGCTTCAAATCTATTCTATAAATAGGTGAGATTGGAAACAATGAGTAAATATTTATCGGATCATTATTTTTCCAATGTTAAGTGTTTTAATCAGTGTAGTATGTTTATGATTTTTGAAACTCTATTTTTCATGATATCTTGAGTTATTAAACATGATTCCACTAAAAGCATTTGAATATTTTATCTGGCCCAAATTCTGATATATGTACAAATGTTCACACATTATAGGCAAGATTACATATAAAAGAATGGCATACAATGTATCAGTATTGCTGTGGAACAAACCATTCCAGCTTAGTGGTTTAAAACAACAATCACCTTATTAACTCAAGAATTCAGTGGGTTGGCAATTTGGGGCGGATTCAGCCAGTCAGTTCTGCTGATTCAGTCACTCGTGCAGCTGCAGTCCTTCCGCTTTTCAGGTGGGGCAGGATGGCCTAGGAAGGCCTCACTCCCTTATGTTGATGCTGGCTATCATCTTGGCCACAGGTCTCCAGCAGGCTAGCCAGGGCTTCTTTGCACAAAAGCTGGGTTCCAAAAGCAGCAAGAGAAACAGAGCTCCTGTGCTAAAGTGCCCTTGAAAGCTCTGCTTGCAACACTTTGCTAATACAGGTCAAAGGAAATCACATGGCCAAGCTCAGAGTCAGAGTGGGACAATGATACAGGTAGGCTGGATTAACTGGAAGCTATTACTGTAATAATTTACTACAGAAGATAATAAATTAATTAAAATAATCTTTCTTCTCAGTTTTCAAAATACAATTGAAGTTACTGTTTTTGACCAAATAATAGGCAGTCTCTGGAAAGCAATTGTGGTTTAATACAACCTCTAAGTTCCATTGCTCTTCAAGGATCTCGATTTACTGTTGCCTGATGGCCAAAAAAAAAAAAAAAAAAAAAAAAAAAAAAAAAAAAATTCCTTCTTTTTCCAGATCAGAAAAAAAAAAGGTCAGATTCAGATACTGAGGTATGTGAAAATCAGTATTTCACTAGATCAGGCATAGTTCCAATACCAGTATAAAGAAACAAATCTGAAAGAAAAGAAATTATGTTTGCAAAACAAATATGGAGACAGATTCTATAACTCTGGAAAGATATAGTAGATAATAAGAATACATATTCTCAACTTTTCAGTCAGGGACCATAATATCAACAAATCACAAAGAAAGAAAGAAAAATATACACTATGGTGGTGAATTGAGAATATTAATGATAACTATGACTTATTGTTTATAACCTGAATCCAAAAAGTCCTATAAAATAAACAAGTTTTCAAGTTGAATGAAATATCATTAGCTTTAGTGTGATGGTTGATACTGAGTGTCAACTTGATTGGACTGAAGGATGCAAAGTATTGTTCCCAGGTGTATCTGTGAGGGTGCTGGCAAAGGAGATTAACATTTGAGTCAGTGGGCTGGGGAAGGCAGACAATCTGATCAGCTGCCATCGAATATAAAGCAGGCAGAAAAACGTGAAGAAGCAAGACTGGCCTAGCCTCCCAGCCTACATCTTTCTCCCGTGTTGGATGCTTCCTGCCCTCAAACATCATTCTCCAAGTTCTTCAGTTTTGAGACTCGGACTGGCTCTCCATGCTCCTCAAGCTTGCAGACAACCTATTGTGGGACATTGTGTTTGTGTAAGTTAATACTTAATAAACTCCCCTTTATATATATGTGTCTGTCCTATTAGTTCTGTCCCTCTAGGGAACCCTGACTAATGCAGTAAGCATAATAGTATTTTGGTTCAATAAACTGAAAACAACTACAGTAAAAACTGGTTTATTGTTCCAAATCAGTTCATTAAACATTATACATTTCAGAGAATCACAAGCAAATGTATTGAAAGCCAACTCTGGCATCCACTTGGAAGCTTACAATTAGAGTAGATTTCAATATAATTGAAGTAGGTTTTAAAATCTGTCCCTAAACTACTTTATTATCCTCATCTCCTGCATAGCATCAGCCTTCTACCTTCCCAGAACATTTAAGCACTTGCTTCTCCTCATGTACATGTCTTGGTAATCATTATTTCTAAGCCTTGGTATCCCTTCTCCCTCTCTTCAACCTTATCCACTGGTCTTATTTCTGAAGACCCAATGAAATATCACTCCTCTGTGAATCCTTCCCTAACACCCACAAGAAGAAATAACTTGCTCCTGTGTACTCCCCCAAAACATTTTACTTCCTTTGTCTTCCCAGACAATTCTTGTTATCCTTTGGGCTGGTCTCTTAAGCAAATGGCTCTATTCATTCAGGAAGGGTTCAGGCTTGGTATCTCTGATTTGTGATGAGATGTTAAGTTAAGCTATCTGCTCAATTATGTAAAAGATGAATTGGGATGAAGAGGGAGAGGAGAAGGAAGATGGAAAACGGGAAGCTGGAGACAGAGATGAAGTGGCGAGGAAAAAAGTTGGGGACAGGGAAAATTCAAGGGGGAGGGAAGTGGGGAAGGGAGGAAATCTTTGCGGAAGGAAGTCAAGAAGAGAGAAGAGTGAGAGAAGACGCTCTAGCTCACAATAGAGTTTACAATGTGTCCGACTCTATGTTTTTAATCTTTACAATAATTTTATATGTAAATACTATTAGTATCCCTATTTTACGGATGAAGAAACTGAGACAAGGAGATTTGTGTACCTGGTCCAGAATCTCACAATTAGGAAGAGGCACAGCCAGAGCACTAACAGAGGTCTAGATGCCTTCAAGGCAGAGCAATAGTCACTACATCTTCCTGCCTCACATTGATCTGCCTTTCAGTCAACAAAGAGTAACTTCAGACTCTTGCCTGGAACTATTTCCTGATCAATTTCATCAAGACTACAATGGAGAAAAATTATATTTTGTAAAGGTTATTTGTGAAGTATATGCCACCCACTCATCTAGACAGCCTAGGTTTAAAACCTCAACAATGAAAAGAATTACTAAGGTATTTCACTTATTCATTTTCAGCTTATAGCAGAAATTCTTTCCTGAATTCCTTCAGTGTGATGCCCCCTGCTTACCTTCAGCGATGTTATAAGCAACAGCCTTATGAAATCTAGTGCTGTATTTGTTGCTGGCTTGTAGCTTAGGACCTAGAGCCTCACTAGAGGAGGCAGGAAGCTTGCTTCGGGGGAAGTATAACCTAGTGATGAAGAGGATAGATTCCGCAATTGTTCAAGCACTGCTTCCAGTTGTTACTATGTATTATGTAAAGTTTATTGGATTCTCCAAGCCTCAGCATTGTCGTCAATAACACGATAGTCCCTGGCTCACAGAGTTGCTGTGAAGATTTATGAGAGAATGCTTGTAAAACACTTTGTACCATGCCTAGCACACAGTAAGTGCTCAATACATATCATCATTAAACAGTATCCCCCAAAACTAAAGTTGCATGCAATATCTTTCAGGTCTAGATTCTAGCAAAGATTTTGCCTCTCTTAAAGAGTTGACATCCTCTTATTTGCATGGACATTGAACTTCTCTTTTAGCTTTGGCCACTACTAAGATCAAAGACAAAATTTCACCTCAACTGTGGCACATTTGTGGAAATCTATTGCTTGTATGTAGATCTCTAGTCTAATATTGTTTTCCATTTCATCTATATTTTCCCTTATTCTGATTGTCTATTAGTATATACATTATTGTAAGCTGCTTCAAATATTTGTGGAATAAAGCAAACATCATAAATGAATTAATAATTCTGCTTTTTTAATGTCTGCTCAATCACCAAAAAAGGCTGTTTCCCTAATGTGGGGAACATATTGATTCCCTGCCAAACCAAACTTGATGATTTGCAAGCAACATGTTCTTAGAAAACATTTACTGAGTACTATTCAATATTACTATTGAATAGTATGACTATTGAATTACAGGAAATATGATACTTAATAAAAGTCCTACAGAAAACACTGAAATTCCAGTTCTAGATAACAATCACGCAAATGTGTTTTCAGATTACTTCAAATTTTTTTTTCAATAGGAAGTGTTTTTCTCCCACTTTTGTTTTTCTGGTCATCTTTTACAGTAATTTCAAGTCATGCTCTTTTCTCATTCTCCCAGGAGAAGAACTGTGCTATGTCTGCTACTGAACTCACTATGATTGTGTACCAAGATGCATTCATAGACTTTCCTGTGAGATGCAACCCCCCCCCGACATTAAAATAATATGTGTTTTGGAGCTCGATGGGAATATATGAGCATTGAGACTAGCTGCGCCACTTTTTAGATGAGAAAACAAGGCCCAGAGAGCTTATGAAGATGGCAGCAGTGGAGCTGAATAAGAACACAGCCTTGTCAATCTCCATCCAGGTTTTTCTCACTATCCTCTCCTGTAACTTTCTAGAAGAGCAAGTGTCATAATGATGGAAACTAAATTAGTCGCATACACAAAGAATCATCTGTTCTTTCCGTTTAAGTTTCCTTTCTAAAATGCCTTATTATACAAACAGCAAACTATTTAAAGAGAGGTTTCCTGGAATGAGTGTTACTGGTCTGGAAGGGCCTCTGAAGAGTCCAGGAATAGGTCTGCTAACCAAAGGAATGACCCCCTCACAGAGACCACCACTGACTGCCATGTGAGCCGCCGTCCCTCCAGCTGCCCTCACTCCACCGGCTGCTCCCTCTCACATCCCTCTCTGGATTCCTTATCACAAGGTATTATTATCTTCTTTATCTTTTCTTTGTGCATTTAGGGTGTTGTCACTGCCTCTAGTGTGCAAAGTACACCCTGCCCGTTAGCTGGATAGGCAATTTTTAACTAGTTGTAATGTATGTGGACAATCTCATTATCAGTTATTTTCAATTAATTCTTTTTCTGATGTGTCGAATTTGTCACAGTCTTCATTTAGATCTGTTTCTCTATCTGTATATTATACACACATACACACACACATTATAAGGTTGTCAGTGTGATCTTAAAATTAGAGTTTATATGTTCAAAATATTTAATATTTAGAACTTGTATAAAACATTTAGGGTTTTTTTTTCCTTTCAAATAGTCGTATTAGTTTAACATCAGCTAAGAAACATAATTATGATTGAACACATCCATCAAAAAAGTTAGATCTTCATGTTAAAGCCCAAAATAAAAACTCTAAGCATAGAAAATTAATGGATGCATGCTAATTGCCAGAAACATTTGCTGCTCAAAACAAAGAAAATAGAGCTGAATTATATTATTCTTAATGTCTTTGTAATCTAGAAGGCTTTGTGAGAATATACCCAACATGAGGAAACAGGGTTAGAGATTTACAGATATTTGCATGCTTTTCTTTCCGGCAAATGCAAATTTCTTAAGGAAATAAAAAGATCTAAACATTGCACCATGTCAAATGAAAATGAGTGCAGGTGAGAGCAAGATTTGCCTGTTGCAATATCTTTGCCTCTCACTTAGGGAACAAGAGAGCTTCTTTTTTTACATTTTCCCCTTTTTTTCCAAAGCTATTTTAGCCAAAGGAATTTTTAAAAGGAGTCTCAAAATCAACCTTATTTTAAAAAGTTAATTTTAAAAAGATAAATTCTTGCTACTCACCAAAGGTTAATTTCTAGATCAAAGGTTTCTATTTTTAGTTACATATCCAAGAACACATCTAACTCTAAACAACTGCAGATCCACAGAAGCTGTTTCCTTATGAACAATGTTAAGTGGTATTGGCCCCATTTGCCACTAAACTGAGAGCTCCTTAAAAGTGAAAATTTTCCTTAATTTTTGTCTTATTATCTAGCCCACAGCCTGATGCATAGGGCTTAATAAATGGTTGAATAATAAATGAATAACGGAATGGTAATCAACTTTAATATTTACAAGCTTTGCTTTAAAAATAAAATGATCCAGAGAAGAAACAGAAAAACATCAAAATCATTAAATTTAAAAGTGTAGCTTAAAGAGAACTTGATGGTCTCCCTGAGCTGCTCTTCCATGCTGGAATCCCCTCATCCAAAGCTAAACCCACTTTCATCTCAGCTTGACCTCTACCTTCCAATGACACTCATGCTTCCAATGCAGACAAGATTTGGAATTGCAGAAAAGGCATCTCATTTCTAGAGAGGATGGATAGGCTTTTGCCTCCAGGAAAGTAATCATTCACTCTCTCTTCAAAAAAATTTATATTTGCAAAAATGTGTTTTTTGCCATCTGTTTCATTGATTCTGGTCCTGTTTTCCACAGTGCCAGCTATCATTCATGTCCTCATCTGCAACCCGGGACTTTGCAGCAGGATATTGAAGGTGTTTAAGGCAATTAGTAACACGGGAAAAAATGCACACAATTGGTACTTTTGTTACTTCTCTATAGTCCAGAAGAGACCTTAGGAGGACAGAAGGCATTTTCATCAAACAGCAAATTATTCTAAGCAGAAACTTTTAAAATAGACTGGTATTTTGAAGATTTGAAAATTTTAAAGGGTAAAAGCATATTCTTTTCAGTCTCTCAAAAACTGCTGTCACAAAACTTTTGGGCTATTTTTTTGCTTTAAGAACCATTTAACGGCCGGGCGCGATGGCTCACGCCTGTAATCCCAGTACTTCGGGAGGCCGAGGCGGGTGGATCACGAGGCAGGAGATCGAGACCATCCTGGCTAACACCGTGAAACCCTGTCCCTACTAAAAAAAAAAAAAAAAAAAAAAAAAAAAAAAAAAAAATTAGCCGGGTGTGGTGGTGGGCACCTGCAGTCCCAGCTACTCGGGAGGCTGAGGCAGGAGAATGGCGTGAACCCAGGAGGCGGAGCTTGCAGTGAGCAGAGATTGCGCCACTGCACTCCAGCCTGGGCGACAGAGCGAGACTCCGTCTCAAAAAAAAAAAAAAAAAAAAAAAAAGTGCCATTTAACGAGAATGTACTAGAAAAGATTATGCATCCCTTCTATGATCACAGTTTCAGAATGAAGTGGTTTCTAATGGAGGAGGCATAAGACAAGTCCAAGAAACTTGGTGTATCTATCCTTATCAAGAATATCATCAGCTCACCTTCACGGTAGAGGAGTTTACCTATGCCATCTCTCTTTCCTAAAAACCTTAAAGACGGGGTTATACTGATTTGAAACTTTTTTCACTTCAGCTTACTCAGGCTTATTAACTAAGAGTAAGATACATAACTTTTGACATTCAAGTAAAATCTCACTAATTTGGATTGTATAAATTTGGAATCTCTTATCAAAAGTTAACCTTTGCTTTAGTTACAGACATTTAAAAGAATTTGATGAAGCAAATAAAATGTGTAAAATGATTGCCACGGGCGTATGCTGGTTACTCAAGACCACAGTTTGTTTTAAAAACACTTCAGTAATCCACTAAATACCTACAGTTACTCTGCAGATTAAATCTGGAATATCTGCCTCTCAGCGTCTAGCCCTTGTGAACACAGCTGGGGTATTCTCTGACTCTGGCTCAATTTAGGTCACTGTTGTATGTGTGCAACAACATGAGAGTTTGGCTATTTTTTGAAGGCAAAGTCCTAGATAGTTTCATTGTGTTTTACTTTTTGTTACCTGATACCGAAGTGTCAAAAGAATGCCTTCATGTCCCTGGATCTGATCATCACTGTTCTGCTCATCTTCATTGTCTTCTTGATTTCATTTCTCTTTCTCCTTGCTCTCCCTACCCCATCTTTCTCTCTCCCTCCCTCCCTTCCTTCCTTTCTTCTATCCTACTTTTCTTTCTTTTTTTCTGGTGTGCCAGTGCTGGTTTTCATATAAAAACATAAAATATGTTTAGAGCAGGATTTTTATTAATGTAGTTCAGACACTTGTGTTAGGCAAATAGGCAATAAACTTCATGCTGATCACTTTCTTAGAAAAGTTATTGGTAAAGACTTTAATAAAAACTATCTGAATAAGTATAATAAGCCTTTACTTACTACCAGTTTCCACTTTCAACAATGACAAGTCATCTACTATATGCTTAAAAATGTTTTTCAAGAAGAGCTACTACAAATGAAAGGAGATAAAACTTCATTCCTTTCAAAAAACATTTCAAAATTATTTCTTCATTGACTCAGATGAACTTGACATAAGAATTTTCCCCACTATTTCTTTTTATTATATAATTGTCTAATGTTTCTAATGCAGGTCTCATGAAGGCTATATGTAAAGTTAACTTCAATTATTAGGGATTTTAACAACACAGATTTTAGCTTGGTCATTGTCTCCAGAAAAAAACACCATGTAATTCTCCAAATTGCCAAGTCTCCAGATAAGAAGAAGTGTGGCTTATGATACGTCTCTATTGTTTTTACTAATTTGAGCTGTCTGCCAAGAAATAAAGCTAACAGGAAACTTTTTACAATAGAACACGAGATTATAATTAGGAATCAAACATGAGATTTCTATATAAGGAACAACTCCCCAGCATGCTTGGAAATTTCTTTTCAGTTTAGGCCCTATGTCACATTTCCCTGCAGACATATGTGATCAAAGTCTTCAGTTCCCATAAAACCAAAAATCACGATTGTCTTTTCCATCATTATAGTCACTGTGGATAAAGAAAGGAAATACAATACAAGCAGGGACTGGAAGAAAAAAGTCATGAAAAGCTAACCTTTAAATTAAACCTCTGTTGAATAAATTTTTAAGAACTTAATAAAAACTGGTTTCCAAGTCAAAATTCACCATCTACGGGAATAGAATCAATGGGAATGAAAAGAGCTCACCGGCCTCTGACCAACAATTGCCCTGAATCTTTCACCTCCAACACAGCATAGATAGCATGAAACCTTGATTATCCACTAATAAATAAAATAATATTTTTAAAAGAAAAAGAGTAAGGGTATGGGAGGAGATAAACTATGTAGCTAAAGTCATGGAGCAACTCGAGCCGGTGAACAAACAGCTAGTGCTTTAAATATGATGGACATGCAAGACAATTATAAACTATAAACACCACTGTGCAAATAAAATATACTGTTTTTTTCATAACAAGAAAATTAAAATTCTAAAAGGAAAGACAGAATGGCCAAAAAGCAACAAGAATATGGGTTACTAAGAAGCATCCACTTTCACTACACCAAAGACAGTTACCATGTATTATAGGCATTCCTCCTTCCACAGGACACCAGCCCACCATGAAGCCCTGCTCATCCTTGGTAGCAGAATATAGAAGAATGGCATGCAGCTCAGTTTATCTTTATTAAATTATTCATGGGAAACAGGCTTCTTTCTCACCAATAGGCTCATAGGTTTTAACAAAAATTTTTCCTATTCTTCAGGTCACAAATTAACCCAATTTGCTACAAACAACACATCTTGCTGTAAAGTTGTAAAATATACTGTTTTACATTCATAAATAAAATTTCTAGGAGCCAGAAATGCAACTCCTCAGCTGATTTAAGCAGTGTTTAAATAGTTTATTTTTTGATTCAGAGAGTACATGTGCAGGTTTTTTACCCGGGTATATTGTGTGATTCCATGGTTTGGGGTACAGATGGTAGTAAGCATAGTACCCAATAGGCAGTTTTTCAGCCCATCTTCCCCTCCCTCCCTTCCTCCTCTAATAGTCACCAGTTTCTACCGTTTCCATCTTTGTGTCAATTTGTATTTAATTTTAGCTCCCACTTACATGTGAGTACATGCGGCATTTGGTTTTCTGTTCCTGCATTAATTCACTTGGAATAATGGCCTCCAGCTGCATCCATGTTGCTGCAAAGGACATGATCTTGTTCTTTTTATGGCTGCATATTATTCCATGGAGTGTATGTACCATATTTTCTTTATCCAGTCCACTGTTGCTAGGCACCTAAGTTGATTCCATGTCTTTGTTTTTGTGACTAGCACAGTGATGAACATAGAAGTGCATGTATCTTTTATGTAGAAAATTTATTTTTCTTTGGGTATATATTTAGTAATGGGATTGCTGGGTCAAATGGTAGTTCTGTTTGAAGTTCTTTGAGAAATCTCCAAACTGCATTCATTCCACAGTGACTGAACTAATTTGCATTCCTACGAACAGTGTCTAAGAGTTCCCTTTTCTCTGCAGCCTAACCAGCATCTACTATCTTTTGACTTTTTAATAAGTGTTATTCTGACTGGTGTGAGTTGGTATCTCACTGTGGTTTTGATTTGCATTTCTCTAATGATTAGTAATGTTAAGCACTTTTTCATATATTTGTTGGCCGCTTGTATGTCTTCTTTTGAAAAGTATCTGTTCATGTCCTTTGCCCATTTTTTAATTGAATTATTTGGTTTTTGTTTGTGGATTTAAGTTCCTTGTAGACTCTGGATAACAGATCTTTGTCAGATGCATAGTTTATGAATATTTTCTTCCATTCCATAGGCTGTCTGCTTACTCTGTTGATAATTTCTTTGGGTGTGCAAATGCTGTTTAGTTTGTTTAGTTTCCACTTGTCAATTTTTGTTTTTGTTGCAGTTGCTTTTGGAGACTTAGCCATCAATTATTTTCCAAAGCCAGTGTTAAGAAGAGTATTTTCGGCTTTGTTTTTTACAGTTTGAGGTCTTACCCTTAAATGTTTAATCCATCTTGAGTTAGTTACTGTATATGGTGGAATGTAGGGGTTTTATGAGTCTAGTTTCATCCTTCTGCATAGGACTAACCAGTTATCCCAACGCCATTTATTAAATAGGGAATCATTTCACCATTGCTCATTTTTGTCAGCTTTGTCAATGATCAGATGGTTGTACCTCTGTGACTTTATTTCTGAGTTCTCTACTCTGTTCCATTGGTCTGTGTATCTGTTTTTATAATAGTCCCATGCTGTTTTGGTTACTATAGCCTTGTAGTATAGTGGGAAGTTAGGTCACATAATGCCTTTGACATTGTTCTTCTTACTTAGGGTTATTTTGGATATTTTGGTTCCATATGAATTTTGGAATAGTTTTTTTCCTACTTCTGTGGAAAAAATGACGTTGATATTTTGATAGAGATGGCATTGAATCTGTAAATTGCTTTGGGAAATATGGCCATTTTAATGATATTGATTCTTCTAATCCATGAGCATGGAATACTCTTCCATTTATTTGTGCCATCTATGATTTCTTTCAGCAGTTTTATGGTTCTCCTTGTAGAGATCTATCACCTCCTTGTTTAGATGCATTCTTAGATACTTCAATTTTTTGCAGCTATTTTAAATGGGATTGTGTTCTTGATTTGGCTCAGAGCTAGGATGTTATTGGTGTATAGAAATGTTACTGATTTTTGTATTTGATTTTGTATACTGAAAGTTTACTGAAGTCATTTATCAGCTCCAGGAACATTTTGGTGCAGTCTTTTGGGGTTTTCTAGGTATAGAATTATATATTCAGCAGAGGGAGATACTTTGACTTCTTTTCCTATTTGGATGTCTTTTATTTCTTTCTCTTGCCTGATTGCACTGGCCAGGACTTCCAATACTATGTTGAATAGGAGTGGTGAAAGTGGGCATCCTTATCTTGTTCTAGTTCTCAAGAGGAATGATTCCAACTTTTGCCTATTCAGTATGATGTTGACTGTGGGTTTGTCATGAATGGCTCTTATTATTTTGAGGTATGTGTCTTCAATGCATAAGCTGTTGAGGGTTTTGAACATGAAGGGATATCAGATTTCATCAGTTTTTCCACATCTATTAAGATAATCATATGGGTTTTGTTTTTTATTCTGTTTATGTGGTGAATCACATTTATTGGTTTGCATATGTTGAACCAACCTTGCATCCCGGGAACACAGTATATTTGATCATGACTAATTAACTTTTGATATGCTGCTGAATTCAGTTTGCTAGTATTTTGTTGGGAATTTTTGTGTCTATGTTCATCAGGGATATTTTCCTGAAGTTTTCTTTTTTCATGCATCTCTGCCAGATTTTGATATCAGGATGATACTGGCTTCATAAAATCAGTTAGGGAGGAGCCTCTCCTGTTTCATTTTCTGGAATGGTTTCAGTGAGATTGGTTCCAGTTCTTCTTTGTATGTCTGGTAGAACTCTGCTGTTAATCCATCTGGTCCATGGCTTTTTTCTTTTTTTTTAATTACTGATTCAATTTCAGAGGTTGTTATTGGTCCGTTCAGATTTTCATTTTCTTTTGAATTTCATTTGAATCTTGGGAGATTATTTGTTTCCAAGAATGTATCCATTTCCTCAAGATT
This sequence comes from Homo sapiens, assembly GCF_000001405.40. Lineage (NCBI taxonomy): Eukaryota > Metazoa > Chordata > Mammalia > Primates > Hominidae > Homo > Homo sapiens. The sequence continues at coordinate 95,146,159 of NC_000005.10, forward strand.
TTCTAAATTTGTGTGCACAGAGGTGTTCATAATAGTCTTTGTGGATCTTTTGTATTTCTGTAGGATCAGTTGTAATGCCACCTTTGTCATTTCTGATTGTGCTTATTTGGATCCTTTTTTTCCTTTGTTAATCTAGCTAGTGTTCTATACATCTTGTTTATTCTTTCCAAGAACTAACTCTTGCTTTCATTGACATTTTGTAGTAACTTTTGCATCTCAATTTCATTCAGTTATTTCCAGATTTTAGTTCTTTTCTTTTGCTAAGTTTTATGTTGGTTTGTTATTTTCTCCTCTACTTCCTGTAAGTACTATGGTGGGTAATTAATTTGAAATCTTTCTAACTTCTTGATGAAAGTATTTAGCACTATAAACTTTCCTCTCAATATGCTTTAGCTGCATCCCCAAAATTTTGGTAAGTTGTATCTTTATTTTCATTAATTTTAAAGATTTTTTTTAAATTTTTGCCTTAATTTTGTTGTTCACCCAAGAGTTACTTCAGAGCAAGTTGTTTAATTTCCATGTTTTTGCTAGTTTTGAGAGATGTTCTTGGTATTGATTTCTATTTTTATTGCCCTGTTGTCCAAGAGAGTGTTTGTTATGATTTTTTTTAACTTGTTGAGACTTGTTTTATAGCTGGGCATGTGGACTATCTTAGAATATGATTCATGTTTGGATAAAAACCGTGTATATTTTGTGGTTGTTGGGTGCAGTATTCTGTAGAGATCTATTAAGTCCAGTTGGTCAAGTGTAGAGTTTAAGTACAGAATTTCTTTGTTAGTTTTATGCCTCAATGATCTAATGCTATCAGTGGGGTGTTCAAGTCCCCCACTAGTATTGTGTGGCTGTCTGAGTCTTTTCATAGGTCAAAAAGAACTTGTTTTATGAATCTGGGTGCTACGATGTTGGGTGCTTATTTATTTTATTTTATTTATTTATTTATTTTTTTAAGACAGAGTCTCACTCTGTTGACCAGGCTGGAGTGCAGTGGTGTGATCTTGGCTCAGTGCCAGCTCCGCCTCCTGGGTTCATGCCATTCTCCTTCCTCAGCCTCCTGAGCAGCTGGGACTACAGGTGCCGCCACCATGCCTGGCTAATTTTTTTGTATTTTTAGTAGAGACAGGGTTTCACTGTGCTAGCCAGGATGGTCTCGATCTCCTGACCTCGTGATCCACCTGCCTCGGTCTCCCAAAGTGCTGGGATTACAGGCGTGAGCCACCGCGCCCAGCTATTGGGTGCTTATTTATTTATGATAGTTACACCTTCTTGTTGAGTTGAACCCTTTGCCATTATGTAATGCCCTTCTTTGTCCTTCTTGATAGTTGTTGGTTTAAAATCTGTCTTATCTGATATAAGAATAGTGATACTTGCTCTTTTTTGTTTTCCTTTTGCATGATAGATCTTTCTCCATCTCATTACTTTCAGCTTGTGGGTGTCACTACATGCAAGATGGGTCTCTCAAAGGCAGCAGACAGTTGGGTCTTATCTCTTTATCCAGTTTGCCACTCTATGCTTTTTAAGTGGGGGGCTTAGATCATTTATATTCATGGTTAGTATTGACATGTAAGATTTTGATACTCTCATTGTGTTGTTAACTGGTTGTTTTGTAGACTTCATTGTCTAATTGCTTTATACTGTCTATGATCTATGTGCTTAAGTGTGTTTTTGTGGTAGCAAGTATCAGTCTTTCATTTCCATGTTTAGCATTCCCTTTAGGACCTCTTGTAAGGTTCATCTGGTGGTAACAACTTCCCATAGTGTTTGCTTGTCTGAGAAGAATTTTATTTCTCCTTTGCTTATGAAGCTTAGTTTGGTGGGATATGAGATTCTTGGTTGAATTTCTTTTCATTGAGGATGCTGAAAATAGGTCCCCTATCTCTTCTAGCTTGTAAGGTTTCTGCTGAGAGGTCTGCTGCTAGCCTATTGGGGTTCCTTTTGTAAGTGGCCTGATCTTTCTCTCTAGCTGCCTTTAAGATGTTTTGTTTTGTGTTGACATTGGTGAACCTGATGACTATGTGCTTGGGGATGATTGTCTTGTATAGTATCTCATAGGGGGTCTCTGTATTCCCTGAATTTGCATGTCCATGTCTACCTCTCTGGCAAGATTGGGATAATTTTCATGAACTACATCCTCAAGTATGTTTTCCAAGTTGCTTACTCTCTCTCCTTTCTCAGGAATGCCAATGAGTCATAGATTTGGTCTCTTTATAAAATTCCATATTTATTGGAGGTTTTGTTCTTTAAACATTTTTTTCTTTATTTTTGTCTGACTGATTTGAATGAAAGTAGTCTTCAAGCTCTGACATTCTTTCCTCAGCTTGGTCTATTCTGTTAATGCTTCTGATTACATTGTGAAATTCTTGTAGTGAGTTCTCCAATTCCAGAAGTTCAATTTGGTACTTTCTTAAAATGGCTATTTCATTTTTCAGCTCTTGGATCATTTTACTGGATTCCTTGGATTCCTTGGATTGGGTTTCAACTTTTTCTTGGATCTCAATGAGCTTCCTTGCCATTCAGATTCTGAATTCTATAACTATAATGTGGTTAAAAACATTTCTGAGGGGCTAGTATGTTACTTTAGAGATAAGGGGACTCTGTTTTTTTTTAATTGCCAGAATTCCTGTGTTGATTCTTTCTCATCTGAGAGGGCTGGTGATCCTTTCCTTTAACTGTGATGTAAGATGAGTATAATGAGTTGGCTTCATTTCTGGGTGCTTTCAGGTGGCCAAAGATATGTTCAGCATCTTTATTTGTGGCTGAATTTTTGCCTTAATTTTCACAGGCACTGTATACTGGCAAAATATTTTTGGTGCTGTAATTTGGACTGTGATCCAGTAGATGACACTTAACAGTAATGGCCAGCAGATAGGCTCTCACTGAGCTATGCAGGTCTTTTGTATTCCAGTGTTTGCTGTAGTGCTCTGTGGTTGGAAAGAGAGAGATGGCCCCCTCACCAAGTCCACTTCTGTGTCCTGGAGGAGCCCCTTCTGATCACTGGCACCATGTATGCATTTCTTTTGTTAGGTGTTATAGGCTTAGGACTCCCTCAGGCAGAGGCCACAGCTGGCAGATAGGCCATACCCTTCCCAGACTGACCCTGTAGAAGGAAGCATGATCAGCTCCTCCACCAACCAATGAACTCGGGTGTCTCACCCCCTCAGTATTATAAGAGTAGGGGCTCCTCTACTGCTTGGGTACCATCCAAGGTGGCGAGTCTTGCCTGCCTAGGAGCAGCAGGGAGCAGGGGACACATGATCTGTTATTGGGGTGTTTCCTGGGAAAATACGGAGCTGTGCCCACCCACAGATTTCAGGCAAGGACAGAGCCACTGTGCTGGGAGCCCAAGTCTTGCCTGGTTAGGAGCAGTGGGGCTGGGTGGAGTCTGCCATATGGGTGTTTCCTGGGAGAACACAGAGCTGTGCCCGCCCAGAGTTCAAACAAGGGCAGGGTCACTGTGCTGGAAGCAGAAACTGAGCTTTGTCTGGTGAGAAGTGGTACAGTCTGACTGCTCCCCAGCACCATGACTGTGGCCTCCACTGGGGCTACAGTAGCTACTGCTGGGCTGCTCAGGGATCCAAGGACTGTTGGGCTCCCTGCGGCCTTAAGCGGTGCCCTGCAAAAACTCCCAGAGGTTCTCTCTATCAGTCTAGAAGTCCAGGAACCTCATAGGGTTTCTCCTATTCCCAGGATTGTGCAGGTCCCTGTAGGAAGTGTGCATTCCCCAGGGCTTTTCACTCTCTCACCCTTTGCCCATGTTACAGAACTTCTCCTGGTTTCACATTGGTCCTGGGTGGGCAGCTGCCCAGCTTCACTCTTCTCTGTTCTCCATGTGTCCCTTTGCTCCCTTGATGAGTCCTGATATGGTTTCTTAGACAATTCACTTGGACAGTCAGTATTTACTCACCACTTTGTTTCCTTTCTGTGAGGGTGTTACACATCAGCCCCTTCTAGTCAGTCATCTTGAACCCATTTGTTTTTATATTTTTAAATGATTTTTGATGAAAACTTTCTAAAGTGCAGCATCTCTTCCCCATATTTGTTTTAATTGCATAACCTAATAATGATAATTTGAACTTTTATTGATGGGTGGAATGTTATAAGCATCTTTACTTTATTCACTAATGCTATAATTATGTCTCTGCTGCCTTATTTCTTTCTCTCTTGACATTGGACTATAACTTTTGCTGTTATGGAGCCAAACCTCTAGCAGAACAAACCTCTTTCTAAGCCGGTGGTTCTGATCATTTTGGAAAAAGATAGTTAAATTTTATAGTATGGTATCCTAAGTAAGAGTCAATGAACTATATATGAGGCCTGGGAGTAAAATCTTTGGCTTTAGCTGGGAGGTTTTCTCATTAGCAGTTTTATCTAGTTACTTTTGGATGAGAAAAGTTAAAATTAACAACAACAAAAAATCCAGTTTATGAATACATTTCGTATCTTTCTACCTGGAAACGTGGTTATCATATCATTTTCTAATACTACAAAGGTATCAGAATTAGTATTATGTGGCATTCTTTCAAAGAAAGTGAAAAGAACACTCGAGTTCAACTAAATTTCCATTTCTAATGTCTAAAGGCTATAACATCTAAAAATGTTACCACAGAAAGAATATACAGTTGACCCCTGAACAACACAGGGTTAGAGGCACCAAAGTCCACAGTTGAAAATCCACACATAACTTTTGACTCCTCAAAAACTTAATTACTAGTAACCTACTGTTGACTAGAAGCCTTATCAATAACATAAACAGTCAATAAACGCATATGTTGTAATGTATACTGTAATCTTACAGTAAAGTAAGCATAAGAAAATATTATCATTATTATTTGAGACAGAGTCTTGCTCTGTTGCCCAGGCTGGAGTGCAGTGGCACGATGGCTCACTGCAACCTCCACCTCCCAGGTTCAAGATATTCTTCTGCTCAGCCTCCCAAGTAGCTGGGACTACAGGTGTGCACCACCACGCCTGGCTCATATATATATATATATATATATATAGTATTTTTAGTAGAGATGAGGTTTTGCCATGTTGCCCAGGCTGCTCTCGAACTCCTGAGCTCAGGCAATCTGTCAGCTTTGGCCTTCGAAAGTGCTAGGATTATAGGCATGAGCCACCACACCCGGCCAGAAAATATCATTAAGAAAATCATAAGGAAGATAATGTATTTACTATTCATTAAGTAGAAGTGGATCATCCTAAAGGTTTTCATCCTAATCATCTTCATGTTGAGTAGGTTGAGAAGGAGAAGGTAGAGGAGGGATTGGTCTTGCTGTCTCAAGGGTTTCAGAGGCAGAAGAAAATCCATGTATAAGTGGACCCATGCAATTCAAACCCATGTTCTCAAGGGTCAACTGTGTATTTTAAAATATTGCATTAAGCTTATTATTATGTGGTAGCTTCTGAATGGCCATTATTAAAAATGGCTTGGCCAAGGAGGACTTAAGAGTTAAAACATTCCACTATAGTCCCCTACCAAGCTGGACTCTCTGCAATGCTGTATCTGCATTTCAACCAATTTTTCCACTTATCTGATTTCCTCTCTGACTTTGCTATTAAGATTAGGAGATCCTACCACTTACCACTTGCTTTAACTTTAAGCAAAATCCTTCTTTCCACAGGCCAGCAGTGGTCTCTTACTTTGGCATTTCCTCTCTGCTTCATCCTTTAACTCGCTGCCTCTGGTTAAAGAAGCCGGCACTCCCAAAACAGTCCCCGACCACACTCCCTTCCACACATATACTTTTCCTAGCAACATCTGTATGGCTCTCCCCTTAACACTCAGAAATTGTAAATGGCAACATTGTTGAAAGCTTTACTGATGAATATTCCAGGTTATAGCCAAAGATAATACTTTGCCATCTATCTTTCCTAGCTAAACAGTACGGAAAAAAAGTTTTGGATTATGAGTGCAATTAAAACCAGTGTTTAAAATCTAAAGTCATTTAATACAGTCAAAATAGTAACTTTAAGAAAATGAACTAAAGCCCATAAATAATGTCACTTGCTCTCCACCACCCTATTAAGTTTCAATGAAAATTCAGAAATGAGAGAGAAAATGATTTGGATTTATTTCTAATTTAAATCTGATCAAAACACCAGGATCATTCCAGATTCTCTTCCACTATTTTTGCATTTTCAAATTAGGCATGCAATGGAAATGAGCTTGGGCAGGAAGCCTTAGGCACGTCAGACTGAAATTCAATAGCCAAAGAAATGCATTCTATGTGTAGGGGACAATATCTTTCTTATATTCTGAGCCCTAATTCTCAGCTATTCTTTTTGCAGGTTCATCATCAGATATATGGATATAATATCCAGGGCAATTCTCCCATTTGGAAACTAGGAAATGTTACCAGATATGGGGAAAAATTAATTCTAGAAACTGGATTAAGTTTGGACCCAGAAAGTGAGTCTAGACCAGTTTAGCTTCATTAACGAGGGTTATCGTTAAATTTGATTCCTTTGTTTTGTTCTTTTGGCAAATATTCCTTCAGGGCAGGGAGGTGAAGGAAAAATAACTTTTGGGTTCACTCTTTATTTACATTCTTATGTTTGTGTGGAGTTTGCTGAAGGGGAATAAATTTATGTAACTAATCAGATACAGGAACAAACATCAGCATATGCTTTATGTCTGCTTGGCTCAGCTGCCTAATATACCTTCTAAGGATCCCAAAGGCAGAAACTTGGTCCCAAATGATTCCCCAGGGGCTCTCACTCTCCTTTCCTTTCCAGACAGAATGTATACTTCCCTATTTCTGTCTAGTCATCTCATAAAGGGGAAATGGGCACAGAGTAAGGATATGGGCATGTGGTCCTGTAAAACCATCACTTCCATTGACCAGGGAGAAAAGAAAACATAGTCAGTCTCCTTAGCCAACAATATGCCATTATAGTAATCATTATTGATATGCTTTGGCTTTGTGTCCCCAACCAAATGTCATCTCAAATTGTGATCCCCACGTGTTGATGGAGGGACTAGTTGGGAGGTCACTGGATCATGGGGGTGGTTCTCCCATGCTGTTCTCATGATAGTGAGTTCTCACGAGATCTGATGGTTTAAAAATGTTTGGCATTCCCCCCGACCTCTCCTGCCACCATGTAATATATGCCTTGCTTCCCTTTCGCCCTCCTCCATGATTGTAAGTTTCCTGAGGCCTCCCCAGCTATGTGGAACTGTGAACCAATTAAACCTCTTTCCTTTATAAATTACTTAGTCTCAGGCAGTTTTTCATAACAGTGTGAAAATGGACTAATACAATTATATACATACAAGTTCAGTGAACCAAACTGAATCCTTGCCAGTTCAACTAGCAGGCCCAGCAGGCCAAACACACAATAAACTGTGCCCAGGACAGCAGCCTTAAGAACATGGTCCTGACAGTTTTCCATCTGATCCTCAAATCTGCATGTGTTGACAAAGGTGGAGAATGAAATTAGAGAAAGAGAAAATGCTTCCAGACATTAAAGTTTGCATAGAAGTTTAAAAAGCTCAGCACAATGGCAACAGATATACAAAGCTTAAAAGCAGTGAAAAATATGTGCTTAAATCTGTTTTGTGGTGCTGTCTCCGAGGAGTGATCAAGAAGTACTGAGACAGAATGCTTTCCCATTAAGAGGAAATGGAGTGTTCCTTTGCCAAGAATGTCTGCAGAATTCTGAAGCCTCATTAGGAGCAGTCGTTGTTTTTAAGGTTATTTCTTCTTTCCAAAGAGAATGAGTAATTAGAGGCCTTTGAATGATCTGTGTTTGTCTTTCTAAAATCAAAGGTCTTTATTACATTTCTAAAACAATGTAAAAATTATATTTTTAGCTCACTTCTCTGAAAGTCATGCCCGAAAGAAATGCTTGATAATTTTAATAATGAAACAAATATTCCTTTATGATAAAATACATTTTACCATTTTATCTACTTACAATCTGATAGTATAACTACATGTAGGAAGCCTTTGAGTTGGTGGTGGTTGTGATGCTGTTGTTTGGCTGTATTGATGTGTTTGTGCTCATCTTGTCACACTGTATCACTTATCCAGGAACAGATATTTCACACACTGTTTCCTCTCTCAAGGGTGAACTAGGCACATACCTGGGGCTTAGCTGTTTCTTATTCACAGAAGGCCTGTAGGGTTAAGAGTAATACAATCAAAAGTGCAGCTTGCTCATGTAGCAATATGAAGTCTCTATGCCAACAGAAACCTGAGGCCAAGAAACCATTCTTAACCTTTGAACATATTTCTACTATATGTTAAATCCCTTGGTATTGGTTTCCTCATTTGTGAAATAGAGGAATAGAATGAGATGAACTATAAGGGTTACTTCAGCTACAAAAATTCTAACATACAACATAATGAGCAAGAGAGCTGCCTCCACATTTACATACTAATTAGGAATTTTTTAGCTTAAATAAGTTAACTTCCTTTTGAAATTATACAGGATCCTAACTACAAACCAAGAAAACTGAGGCTTTGTGTAATTATGGCAAACAAGTTCTTCAATCCTATAACTGAAATTGTGTGAAGATTGCCTAAAATGCCTACATGAACTGATTTTTAAAATAAGTGAAACAACGAAGAAAGCCAATAAAACTAGACTATCGAAAAATAATTTTATAATATACCTTTCATAATATTAAATATTAGAATAGTTTTTTTATAAAATAAAAATTGTGACAATGGTGGATAAATTTTGTGATAATTTTGTCATTTCCATGATTTATTAAGGTTAGCCTTGATGGATATCTTATTTAGAGTTTTTTCAACATATAAGGAAAAACTGATTAAGGAGTAAATATGATGAATTGTATTTATGATGAAGAGCACGGTTTAGACACTATGCTGGTAGCTAATTATAAGCCTGTATAATTTTATAATGAATATGAACAAAAGCAAAAGAGATGGCATTAAGAATATAAATACATCAATAATTATTAGTGAAATCAAATTTGCCTTTTTAGCCTTTGCTTTACAGAAAAAATATTAGCTATTTAGAGCTCTACTCAGATCATGCAGTATATGTAGAAGAATGACTAGGCAAATAAGGGAGAATTGCATGACTAAAAATATAAAGACACAGGCAAGGAGATGTTGAATGAAAATTACAGGCATATAGTAGAGGTAGATATTATAAGGAAGGAGAGGCAGGAAACATCAAGTATACAATTTATGGACAATCAGGCTGGGTACATTCCTTATTCTAATGAAGGATTTAGGCAAGATTGTTGGACTCTTGTTTACCTAATTTTTTTGAGTATAAAATTCCTTCAAATGTACATTAAACATTTGAAAACAATTAGTATGTGTATGATTGTTTTGCTTTATAATAGCTAATAAAAAAAGAAACCCTAAGGTGGGTGAAAAAAGTTATTTTTTACACCCTGCCACCTAATCCTTAAAAATGTTCCATTTTGAGCACCAAAATGAAGTCTGTAACAAAAAAAAAAGTAAAGAGTTACAATCCAGTTTAGGATTTTAATTATATTCCAATATAGCAACCTATACACAAGATGGCTAGAAGCCATTAAACTGCACAGACCTCAAAGCTATGGAAGGAGACCTGAACTGCACAATAGCTGTGGTTGTCAGAATTCTAAGAGGGCCCCTAGGATTCCTCCCCCATAGTGTTCACACCCTATATATCCCCTTTCCCCCAAGTGTGGGAGAGATGTGATTACGATAGGAGAGTCATTTCCTTGGTTAGGTTCTACTGAATGACAAAGGTGATGGGTTGGTCACTCATTTGATTCCATTACATGATCTGCACCCTGGAGAGAGTTTTCTTCCACTGGCTTTGAAGACATAAGCTCCCATATTGTAAGGTGGCCACATGGCTAGGACCTGAGGTGGCCTCTAGGAGCTGAAAGCAATCCCTGGCCAACAGTCAGCAAGAAACAAGGGACTTCAGTTTCTAGGAACTAGGAACACAAAGACCTGATTCCTGTCAATGATGTAAATGAGCTTGGAAGAGGACTCTGAACTCCAGATGAGAACTACAGTGTGGTGGACACTTTGATAACAGCCTGGTGAGATTCCAAACAAAAGATTCAGAGAAAAGGAGGCCTGATTCCAGACCCACGGAGACTGAGATAAGAAATTTATGTTAAGTTGCTAAGTGGTAATTTGTTACACCGGAAGAGAAGACTAATGACCAGCATTTATCTGTGGATGATACATTTAATGGTCAACAAACACATCTCTTAGGCACATGATCTGAACTGCAAAGTGAATTAAAGATATTCTGAATCCAATACCCAAACCATTTTGGAAACTCTAGGTTTTAATTCTACTGAATATGCATTACAGACTTGCCTGGATAAGTGAGTTTCCGTTTAAGCAATGATCCCCATTCTCTAGTTACCTTAACTCATATCATTCTTGTTCACAGACACTACTTCCCTAACATGTGTTCTGTGGTAGTTTTTAAAAAGCTCTCATCTGCTTTCTTCATAGCCACCCCAATAATGATGCTGAAGACAGAGAACAAAGAGAAGTAGATGAAATGACTCACTGAAGAACACTTTTCTAATTAGGTGCCAACTTAAGAAAACTGGGCTTATGTCAAAGTCTGAACATTTATTGTAAGTGTTTTTGGTTCCTCTTGTAATTAATTGTAAATATTTGTACAAAACATAGAAGTTTTTTTGCATTCCTGTCACTGATCAACTAAAGTCACAAACCAATTTTAAAACTAAATATTTCAGCAAACAGACTTGGCAGTAAAATATAATTTCCTCAACATCTGATATATTGGTGAAACGTTATTAATTCATATTTTCTCATGCATTCATGGCTGATCTTATGAGTAGAGAGAGAGTCAAGCTTGCTAAGAAATGTGATTTGAGGAGTAGGACTACAAGCTTAAACCCAAAGCTCACATCACCTTAATAAAGTGCCCGGTATTCCTGTCATTATAATTTACTCTGTGGCCCTAATACTTTTTTGAAGTAGTTATGTGAAAATTATAAATAGGTAAAATCAAATATATATGTAAATTAGTGAAAATTAACTCATTTGGGTTAAAATAGTCTTCAGAAAGACTATGAAAATCCAAATATATTATAAAGTAGTAGTTAGGTCTTAAAATATATCAACCAATTGTCCAGCAAAAGGTTTCTTTGGGAATGGGACATGGAATAGCCAATCTTTGATAGAAGAGGGTACTGCTATAGAAGGTCCTGAAAAGCTAAGAGACAGGATAAAGGGCCTGGAACCCAGGGCACCCTAAAGATAAACCAAATATTTTATGAATTCACTTGCACTGACCCTAGATACAGATAAGATATTGAAAGCTAGTTTTCTAATTTATATTATTCTATCAAATGAATTCAGCTGCCCTGTAGACCCATATAGAAAACTAGGAAACAGAAAACTTTAGCAACTTGTCCATGGTCAGTGGTATAAATAAGGCTAAAGACGAAGGCAAGAGATTTATATTTAATCTTTTTCTCAAATCAAGGGATAAACAACTAAATATACCATTAAAAATACTGGGAAAAAATTTTAAGATTTCTCATTATGGAAAAGTAATGTACAAACAAAGTCACCATGCAATCATGGCCTAAAAGAGCTTCTCAATTTTGAAATTAATATATGATTACATGGAGCAGGGATCAGCAAACTGTGGCTCACGGGCCAAGTCAGCCAGATGCCTGTTTTTATAAATAATGTTTTATTGAAACACAGTCACTCCCTTTCCTTCATTTATTGTTTATGGCTGTTTTCCCATTACGCCGGCAATGTTGAGTTGTCATGACAGAAACAGCATGGCCCGCAAAGCCTAAAATATTTACTGGTTCTTTACAGAAAATATCTGCCAACCCCTGTTGTAGTTCATTAAAAATCAGTGTTTAGTGCAAGTCTACATCTACTATACCTATAATACCTAGAACAAATCATACATGATCTCACTAAAGAAAGCCCTTGGTTAATTAAGTAAATAAATAGAATTGATATTAAGTAGACACAACGAAAATGTTACATATTGAGCCTGGCAGTCAATTCCACAAACACAGACCTGCACAATATGGACTGTGACAATATCTTGCTTTTTTTGTAAACATTCTTAAAATGGTAAACACATTCCACTGGCATTTTTCATCATCACATATCATTCATTTATTGTAAATCTCAAGATTTTAGTCACAAAACATTTTTTGATGGATTTCACTTTCTATAGGCCTTTGTGCATTGCAGCTTTGCAAAAATTATACAATCCTCTGGGTACAAATTAACTTGAGAGCCTGGCTGAGATGGAAAATATGATAAAAATGGAAATACAAAAGGCTGTGATGGCTTTTTAAATTACAGGATATGTATAGCAATAAATAGTAAATCTGGTACTTTTTAAGAAGGATGCCATTGTTAAGAAGCCAGATTTTAAAAATAACAACAAGGAATATCAAGCCTATTCCCAACATTTTCCAAAAGGAATTTAACTCACTTAAATAGCATCTGTAATTTTAGATAAATAGTTAAACTCAAAAGCAAATTTAGGGACATGTGCAATGGCTCATGCCTGTAATCCCAGCACTTTGGGAGGCCAAGGCAGGAGGATCACTTGACCTCACAAGTTCATGACCAGCCTGGGCAGCATGGTGAAACTCTGTCTCTACAAAAAATACCAAAAAAAAAAAAAAAAATTAGCCAGGCATGGTGGTGCATGCCTATGGTCCCAGCTACTCAGGAGGCTTGAGCCGGGAGGCAGAGGTTGCAGTGAGCTGAGATCACACCACTGCACTCCAGCCTGGGTGATAGATCCAGACCTTGTCTCAAAATAATAAAAAGCAAATTTATTTAATATAATTTCTTAATTTTTTTATGGTGCAGAATTTTTTAGTTTCTGTTGAGTATGTATCCATAACTTTGAGAAAATTATTTTTTGAAAAACTATTTGATGTTGACTTTAGGCAATCATACCAGACTACAACCATGTAGAATTAAAATGACATCACGTCTAAAAAATAATTAAAGTCAAAGTACCTGATTTTTGTAAAGGGTTGTCAACTCTATCTATAAGACTGTGTCTACTAACTTAGTATAAAAATTCCAAACCACAATATCATGTCTCCAGATATGCCTTTGAAGACATCAATGATTGACTTCAAATCCTAATTACCCAAAACTCAGAAAACATATATGGAATTTGCAATATTTGAGAGATTCAAGAGGCTATGCTAATAGTTGCTTTCTCTCAATTCCCTAAGCTCTTTTCATTCATTTATTCTTACATCCAAACATTACACACTTTCTGATAACTACTGTGTGCCAAGTATATCAGTTATACTATCACTATGTATACAGCTCACCAGCAAAAGAATGTCATATTCTATTTTCAAAAATCATTTGTGAAGTGCCCATAATGCATGTACTATATACTATGTTAAGTTCTAAGGATAAAGAGATTACTAAGACACAACAATGGTTCTAAAATGTGAGTATGTACCAGATATATCTTAGGATTTTATAACTATATAGAAGCTTAGCACCATCCATACCCAGTGTATCAGAATTTCTGAAGCACAACTTTGATTTTTTTTTCAAGTTCCACTTGTGAGTCTGAAGCACATTGAAGCTTGAGAGTCATTTCTCTGGAAGATGTTCCATACAGTGTAGAGATAAGGCAAGTACTATGAATAAAACAGAAACACAAAGAGGGAAGCATCAAGTTCTACCTAGAGTGATCATAGAGATCTTCTCTAAAGGGGTTAACCTTGAAGCTGAGTTTTAGCAGATAAGAAATTTACCAAGCAGATAAGCAGGCAGTGGTAAACCATATGCAAAAGAGTCAACACACCTGGAAATATATGAAGGCGTGAGAACAGCATGCTATGTTTGGGGAACTGCAAGTAGCTAGGTAAGGATGAAGGGCACAGATGCAGAAAGCCCAGGAGAAGAAGTTGGAAAAGTAGGCAGAAGAAGCCAGATCATGAAGTGCTTTGTATACAACGGCAGAAATTTTGATGCCCTCTTGTGAGCCATAGAATGTTACTGAAGTTTTGTAATCAAAGGAGTGATATGATTAGACAAATTGCAAATAGTGAAGGAGAATCAGATGGCAGCAGGGAGATATGTTATCCTGGGTGAGAAATGATGAAGATTTGAACAAAAATACTGGTGTTAGGAAAGAAAAGCGCAGATAAAATAGATCTTCAGGGAGTAAAGTTGACTTGTCCAGGTGATAAACAGATTACAAATGGAGAAGGAGTACAATTACTAGTTTCTAATTTGAGGACTCACTATATTATGCATTTTGGAAAGAGTAATAATAGCTAACATTAATAGAACATTTGCCATGTTCTAGGCACTGTTTTTGGAGCTTTGTTCACTTAATCCTCATTATATAACAAGAGACATTATTTCTTTTAATTTTTATTATTTTTTGAGACATTGGTCTGGGCAAATATTTCTTAGATATAACCCCAAAAGTACAGCAACAAAAGCAAAAATAAACAAATGGGATTGCATTAAACTAAAAAGCTTCTGCACAGCAAAGGAAACACTTAACAGAGTGAAGAGACAAACCATGGAGTGGGAGAAAATATTTGCAAACCATATGTCTAATAAGGGGCTAATACCCAAAATATAGGAACTCAAATAACTCAATAGCAAGAAAACAAATAACCTAATCAAATAATGAGCAAAGGACCTAAATAGACAATTCTCAAAAGAAGACATACAATAGCCAACAGTTATATGAAAAAAATGCCTATCACTAATAATCAGGGTAATGCAAATTAAAGCAATACTACCTCACACCTGTTAATATTGCTATTATCAAAAAGAAAAAGGATAGCAAGTGTTAGTAAGGGTGTGGAGAAAGGGAACTCTTGTGAACTGTTGCTGGGATGATAAACTAACACAGCCATTATGGAAAACAGTATGGACATTCCTCAGAAAACTAAAAATAGAATTACCACATGATCCAGCAATCCTACTTCTGGGTATATATCCAAAGGGACTGAAATCAGTATGCTGAAGAGATATCTGTACTTCCATGTTCATTGCACCATTCTTCACAATAGCTAAGATATGGAAGCAACCTAGGTGTCCATCATCAGATGCACGGATAAAGGAAATGTGGCTTATATGCATAATAGGATAGTATTCGGCCTCATAAAGGGGGGAAATCCTGTCATTTGCAACAGCATGGCTGAACCTCGAGGACATTATGTTAAGTGAAATAAGCCAGGCATAGAGAGACAGATACTGCATATCTCACTCATACGTAGAATTTTAAAAAGTTGAACTCACAGAAGTAGAGAATAGAATGGTAGTTACCAGAGGCTGGGGGAAGGGGGTCAAGAGGGAAAGGGGAGATGTTGATCAAAGGGTGCAAAGTTTCGGTTACGAGAAATAAGCTTCAGTGATCTAATGCACAAAATGGTGACTATAATTAATAAAATGGATCGTATACTTCAAAATTGCTAAAAGAGATTTTAAATGTTTTCACCACAAAAAATATGTAATAAATTTGTTAATCAGTCTGATTTAATCATTCCACATTGTAAACATATATGGAAACATCACTTTGTACCCCATAAAAATAAACTATTATTATTTGATAATTAAAAATAAAATTTAAAAAAAGGTTAGGAAAATGAGGCACAGAAAGGGTGAGTAACTTATCAAAGTTCACCAACTAGAAAATGACAAAAGAAGTCGGGATTTGAACCCAGTCTGTCTGGTTGCACAGCCTGTGCTCTGCTAATCACTCTACTATACTCCTATTTAAAGAGAAATACAGAGAAGCATAGAGGACTTCAGGAATCAGAGTCGGCTTTGTAAGAAAAACACTCTGATCAAGTGGGGAGATGTTAACTTTGAGACTCCTGTCAAAGTATCCAGTGGGCAGTGAAGAATGTGGATCTAGAGTTCAGGAGAATGGTCTGCTCCAAGCATTTAGAATTAGAAAACATCAGTATGTAGGTAATTTGCCACTGCTGGTATAAAAACGATACCAGGAAGAACTTGTGCACTGAGACGATAAGTAGGCTAAGAATAGCATTGATAATATTTTAGATGGAGACAAACCCATAATGTTTATAATGTACTGTTATGTTTACATAGAGATTTATATCTACTCATCTACATCTACATCTATTTTATTACAAAAGAATTTCACTTCTTTGAGAGACAAGGGTGCCTCATCACTTACCAGAAGACAACAAAAGTTGTATTTTTGAAAAAGTAATGAAACAATTACCTGACAAGATTTTTCAACACTTCTTTGTTGGCCTTAACTTGTAGGAGAGGAAACCCATAGAAAGGAAACAGACTGTTAAATGGAAGAAAAGTCATGTAACTTCCTCTTTTAGATTATTTACAGGCTGTGAAGCAAACAGTGAAGTTACCAAACCTGTAGCTAAATCTATAAAATATATCATGTTTGCACAACTTCATCAAATGACATTCTAAAAAGGATTATTCCAAAAAGACTCATTATATTGCCATCAGACATTTCAGCCAAAATACCAACAGAATGCCATGATCCAATGTGAAACTGAGAAAGCTACACACATATCATTTTGGTAGCAAGGAAAATGTTAGATTACTTTCATTTCTCCCAGCTTCAATAATAGCCTGCTTCATTCTGTAACAGTGAGATTCCATGTCACCAACACCATTAATCTGTCAACCATGAACACTACTTAACTTTGTGCTCTTCCCTCAGGATTTACATATAAACCTTACAGCAGCTCTTGGCACTATTTCCTGGCTCTTCTCAGCAAACACAAAATATTGGCAGGAACTAGGATTAAATACTCTGTCATATCTAAAGGATGGCCTAAATTGGAAAGCAATATTAGAAATATCAGTATCATCCTTACTCTTTGAACAAGTCCGTGTGATGCAGACCTTCAACATTTTAATTTTATTAATATTAACTTAAAAAAACAAAAATTACACATCAAAATTTGTCTTCTTTGTATATGAATTTATCCAAAATACATGCTTTTGATTATTAACATACCCAAACTATCTTACCTTGTTTTTATTTAGAGTTAGGAGTTAAAGATTTAGTATAGTGAAGGAAAGGTGTCAGAAAAGCCAGGGTTTGTGCCAGGGCTTGGCATAGTGCCTGCCTCCCAGCAGGAGATCAATAACTGTTGAATAGACAAGGCCTCAGTTCCCAAGGTGACAGATATATACTGTGACCTTTTGGGTTAGGTAGATAATGCTTTTTAAATGTTCTGTATAGTCCCAATATAAGAGTTGCCATGTATTGATGTTTCCTGGTTGGCATTAGCTTGACATTAAAAATTCAGCCTTTATTATGAAAGCATTCCAAATGTTCTTTTGGTTCATTCTTGCTGAGAAAATCCCTCCCTGTTTCAAATGAAAGGGGGAAAAATGCATATTAGCCTGTAAGGCATTACTATATAGAGAGCAGTAGGACTGCCTAACACGTGTTGGGTAACACTGCATATTCAATAGTATATACAATATTTAAATGCCTCGAAATTTTGTATGATTTGCTACTCTTATCAGAAAGATGTGTCATATCACTGGGAGGTTCTACTTTTTTCTTCAAAGCAATTAAATGTAGGTATTGTTTTCCTAATGGTGAAAGAGAAGTTAGTATCTCAGTTTGCTTCCATTATAGGAATTCTCTGTAACACTAATCAGCCGTGTGGTCTTGGGACATATTTGTAACTTTTCTGAGCCTCAGTTCTCTTTCTGTAAAAGAAAAAATTTAAATGATGGTTGAAAATCACATTTTCTTTTAAGTCTAGCTCATTAATTATCTCATGCTTTTATTTTAGAAAGGTATTTCTTTTACAGCTCTAGTTTATGGTAAGAGGTTTTAATTAATATACTGTAATGCCAATCAACTTTTATTTTCTCCAATTGGTAATTATTTGAAATTCTTTGTATCTATGATTTATTACTTCTGCATCTGAGTTCATATATTCTATTTTCCATTACTTCATAGCTAGGCAGAAAAGGAACCAGCCCTGGTACCTACTGATGGTGTTCCTAGGTTCTGCATACTTTTCTTTGAAAATAGATTGAGGTTTTTTCCTTTATCTTCATCAAAACAGTGTGAAATTGAAGTGGGAGCATTATTTGCCTTAGTTAAGAAAATGATGTAAACAATTGAACTCACTTTTAATTTTTTCTGTAAATCACTTTCCTTTCTTATTCACATCAAAAAAAAAGGTTTACAAGCAGCTCCTTAGCAAATTTTAGCTTTAGAATGTCTGCAACAATAAATGTTTTGGAATCTTAAACTCTGCAACTTACCACAGAGGGCAAGATTAAAGAAAACATTTGGTCAGAAACAAATCTCTCCCCCCAAAAAATGCTTCATACAGCAAATTAATTACCTAAACACAATTATGTCACCAATTTTTAAATTTGCTCACTCATAATTCTTAGGTTACAAGACAAAATAACCAAATTTTACCAATTATATTTGGATTTCAGATAAACAATAAATAAGTTTTAGTATAATAATACATGCAATATTTGGAACAGATTTATACTAAAATGTATTCTTATACTAAATGTTAACATACACTATATGTTAAAAATTATTTGCTATTCATCTGAAATTCAAATTTAACTGGGTATACTGTATTTTTATTTGCTAATTTGATGACCTTTTAATATTTCTATTTATAAAAGGAATTACAGTGATGCTAGCTGGATAATGTAAACTCCAAGTGGCCTAATACAAGAAATCTGTTTCTCATGGTCTAATGTGAGTCTTCCTAGTGGAAGACGGCTTTTCTCTAAGTGGTCATTCAAGAACCCAAACTCCTCTCATTTTCTGGCTGTATCATCCCATAGGCTTTGGGAGGAGTCCTCTGCATCCAGCAGACAGAAAGAGGGAGGGGGAATAAGGCACACCCACTTCTTAACTGTGTCAACCCAGAAATGACACTATTTGCACTCACAAGTCATTGGTGAGAAGCAGTCACATGGCCCCACCTAGATTCAACAGGAACTGAGAAATTTAAACCCTTGCTGAGTGGTGACTTCCCAGAGACACCTCTAAATAATGAAAAAGATGAATAACATTTTGGTGAAAAGTCTGTGCCTCAGCATGGAACCAAAGGAAATAAATACGATAAGCATCTGATACAATTTCATTTTGTATTAGGATGGAGCAAAAGTAATGGCAAAAACTGCAATTACTTTTGTGCCCACCTAATACTTTGGAGAGATAAACCACCAAATTTATTTGGGACCCTCCCCTCATTTTATTAGCAGTGTACAATCTTTGATATTTAGTACGCAGTAGAAATGAAGCTGACCTAGTTGATGGTTTTGTGTGGAATTTTTTTCATGATACTGAAAAATTGTGATTACACATCTATATCAATCTATGTGAAAGATCATGAGAATCAACAAGTTAATAGGTGTGAATTGCTTTGGGGAATTCAAATGTCTTGCATTAATAAAATCAAAACACGTGTTACAACTGAGGACTCCTCAGAGGATATAGCTGTCTGCTACAAAGACCACCAGCAGCCACATTCTCCCTCAATCTGGGATATAACACTGAGCCCTGAAGTCCGCTTGAAACTTAACCAGAAGGATCAACCATGATACACATTATCTTAATCTGTGAGTCTGTCTTTCCAACTCTGAGAGGGACTTGGTTTCTTACTTGCTTAGTCATGTCTTTGGAACATTCTGATTCTGCCCGGCTGTTTCCTATGTTCTCGTCCTTCTTGGATCTCGACCCACTGACTCTGATGTTCCCAATTGGTCCAGAATTTTGCACTGACCTACTGTTTGATATGCCTCCCTCTCAGGGCTTGTCATAACCACAGTAATATTCCTTCCCTTTGTAGCTGGGCTCTTGATCAAGGTCTCCATAACCCCCCATTACCATATTTCTCACCAGCTTCAGTCTCCATGGGCTCTTGATATTAAATCTGTGGCCATTATTGATAAGCTGCATTGCCTAAATTGTCTTTATAAATGCATTCTCCTAACCTCTTCAAAATTATAGAAGGTTACCTCTTGCTCCCATACGACCAACAGTGAGCTCCAGTGTTGTATAGGTGAAAACTGCTCGAGACCTGGCTTTTTGCACTTTTTCCCCTATGGACAAAATGAACTTAGTGTGTTTCCTTTTCTCTATACCACTCAAAGGAATTTCTCATTTTTCTTCTATCCTAAAAGCTTTGAGTTCTCCAATCAAGGGAGCCTGGTCTATAAGCATGTAGTGCTTCACATCAAAACATACCTCTCCAATAGCAATGTCATAAAAATGCAGGTAAGTGTATGTTTCATAAAACCACTTAAGAGATAGAAGATTCTTGCAACATCTCACTGTCACTTAGCTAGATTCTTACCGTCTTGTCAAAAGCCACTCCATAATTCATATTACTTTTTTTCTACTTGAAATTGTGAATATGCCTTACTTTATTTTAAAAACTTATTTACCACCCTAATTTTAATCATTTTTTTTTTTTTTTTTTGAGATGGAGTCTCACTCGTCACCCAGGCTGGGGTGCAGTGGCACGATCTCGGCTCACTGCAAGCTCTGCCTCCCGGGTTCACGCCATTCTCCTGCCTCACCCTCCCGAGTAGCTGGGACCACAGGCACCCACCACCACGCCTGGCTAATTTTTTGTATTTTTAGTAGAGATGGGGTTTCACCGTGTTAGCCAGGATGGTCTTGATCTCCTGACCTTGTGATCCGCCCGCCTCAGCCTCCCAAAGTGCTGGGATTACAGGCGTGAGCCACTGTGCACAGCCATTTTAATCATTTCTCTAAACATTTTTCCATGTGTCTTTCCCTTTCTATTCTTTTTTTTTTTTTTTGTACTTTAAGTTCTAGGGTGCATGTGCACAATGTGCAGGTTTGTTACATATGTATACATGTGCCATGTTGGTGTGCTGCACCCATTAACTCGTCATTTACATTAGGTATATCTCCTAATGCTATCCTTCCCCACTCCCTGCACCCTATGACAGGCCCCAGTGTGTGATGTTGCCCTGTGTCCAAGTGTTCTGATTGTTCAATTCCCACCTATGAGCGAGAACATGCAGTGTTTGGTTTTCTGTCCTTGCAATAGCTCAGAATGATGGTTTCCAGCTTCATCCATGTCCCTACAAAGGACGTGAGCTCATCATTTTTTATGGCTGCATAGTATTCCATGGTGTATATGTGCCACATTTTCTTAATCCAGTCTATCATTGATGGACATTTGGGTTGGTTCCAAGTCTTTGCTATTGTGAAGAATGCTGCAATAAACATACATGTGCACATGTCTTTATAGCAGTATGATTTATAATCCTTTGGGTATATACCCAGTAATGGGATGGCTGGGTCAAATGGTATTTCTAGTTCTAGATCCCTGAGGAATCGCCACACTGACTTCCACAATGGTCAAACTAGTTTACAGTCCCACCAACAGTGTAAAAGTGTTCCTATTTCTCCACATCCTCTCCAGCACCTGTTGTTTCCTGACTTCTTAATGATCGCCATTCTAACTGGTGTGAGATGGTATCTCATTGTGGTTTTGATTTGCATTTCTCTGATGGCCAGTGATGATGAGCATTTTTTCATGTGTCTTTTGGCTACATAAATGTCTTCTTTTGAGAAGTGTCTGTTCATATCCTTTGCCCACTTGTAGATGGGGTTGTTTGTTTTTTCTTGAGTTCTTTGTAGATTCTGGATATTAGCCCTTTGTCAGATGAGTAGATTGGAAAAATTTTCTCCCATTCTGTAGGTTGCCTGTTCACTCTGATGGTAGTTTCTTTTGCTTGCAGAAGCTCTTTAGTTTAATTAAATCCCATTTGTCAATTTTGGCTTTTGTTGCCATTGCTTTTGGTGTTTTAGACATGAAGTCCTTGCCCATGCCTATGTCCTGAATGGTATTGCCTAGGTTTTCTTCTAGGGTTTTTATGGTTTTAGGTCTAACATTTAAGTCTTTAATCCATCTTGAATTAATTTTTGTATAAGGTGTAAAGAAGGGATCCAGTTTCAGCTTTCTACATATGGCTAGCCAGTTTTCTCAGCACCATTTATTAAATAGGGAATCCTTTCCCCATTTCCTGTTTTTGTCAGGTTTGTCAAAGATCAGATAGTTGTAGACGTGTGGTAGTATTTCTGAGGGCTCTGTTCTGTTCCATTGGTTTATTTCTCTGTTTTGGTACCAGTACCATGCTGTTTTGGTTACTGTAGCCTTGTAGTGTAGTTTGAAGTCAGGTAGCATGATGCCTCCAACTTTGTTCTTTTGGCTTAGGATTGACTTGGCAATGTGGGCTCTTTTTTGGTTCCATATGAACTTTAAAGTAGTTTTTTCCAATTCTGTGAAGAAAGTCATTGGTAGCTTAATGGGGATGGCATTGAATCTATAAATTACCTTGGGCAGTATGGCCATTTTCACGATATTGATTCTACCTATCCATGAGCATGGAATGAATGTTCTTCCATTTGTTTGTGTCCTCTTTTATTTCGTTGAGCAGTGGTTTGTAGTTCTCCTTGAAGAGGTCCTTCACATCCCTTGTAAGGTGGATTCCTAGGTATTTTATTCTCTTTGAAGCAATTGTGAATGGGAGTTCACTAGTGATTTGGCTCTGTTTGTCTGTTATTGGCATATAAGAATGCTTGTGATTTTTGCACATTGATTTTTATCCCGAGACTTTGCTGAAGTTGCTTATCAGCTTAAGGAGATTTTGGGCTGAGACAATGGGGTTTTCTAAATATACAATCATGTCATCTGCAAACAGGGACAATTTGACTTCCTCTTTTCCTAATTGAATACCCTTTATTTCTTTCTCCTGCCTGATTGCCCTGGCCAGAACTTCCAACACTATGTTGAATAGGAGTGGTGAGAGAGGGCATCCCTGTCTTGTGCCAGTTTTCAAAGGGAATGCTTCCAGTTTTTGCCCATTCAGTATGATATTGGCTGTGGGTTTGTCATAAATAGCTCTTATTATTTTGAGATACCTCCCATCAATACCTAATTTATTGAGTTTTTATCATGAAGGGCTGCTGAATTTTGTCAAAGGCCTTTTCTGCATCTTTTGAGATAATCATGTGGTTTTTGTCTTTGGTTCTGTTTATATGCTGGATTACATTTATTGATTTGCATATGTTGAACCAGCCTTGCAACCCACAGAGGAAGCCAACTTGATCATGGTGGATAAGCTTTTCGATGTGCTGCTGGATTCGGTTTGCCAGTATTTTATTGAGGATTTTTGCATCAATGTTCATCAGGGATATTGGTCTATAATTCTCTTTTTTTGTGGTGTTTATGCCAGGCTTTGGTATCAGGATGATGTTGGCCTCATAAAATGAGTTAGGGAGGATTCCCTCTTTTTCTGTTGATTGGAATAGTTTCAGAAGGAATAGTACCAGCTCCTCCTTGTACCTCTGGTAGAATTTGGCTGTGAATCTATCTGGTCCTGGACTTTTTTTGGTTGGTAGGCTATTAATTATTGCCTCAATTTAAGAGCCTGTTATTGGTCTATTCAGGAATTCAACTTCTTCCTGGTTTAGTCTTGGGAGGGTGTATGTGTCCGGAATTTATCCATTTTTTCTAGATTTTCGAGTTTATTTGAGTAGTGGTGTTTATAGTATTCTCTGAGGGTAGTTTGTATTTCTGTGGGATCAGTGGAGATATCCCCTTTATCATTTTTTATTGCATCTATTTGATTCTTCTGTCTTCTCTTCTTTATCAGCCTGGCTAGCAGTCTACCTGTTTTGTTAATCTTTTCAAAAACCAGGTCCTGAATTCATTGATTTTTTTAAGGGTTTTTCGTGTCTCTATCTCCTTCAGTTCTGCTCTGATCTTAGTTATTTCTTGCACAACTTTTCTTGCACATTCTGCTAGCTTTTGAATGTGTTTGCTCTTGCTTCTCTAGTTCTTTTAATTGTGATGTTAGGGTGTCTATTTTAGATCTTTGCTGCTTTCTCTTGTGGACATTTAGTGCTATAAATTTCCCTCTACACACTGCTTTGAATGTGTCCCAGAGATTCTGGTATGTTGTGTCTTTGTTCTCATTGGTTTCAAAGAACATCTTTATTTCTGCCTTCATTTCGTTATGTAGCCAGTAGTCATTCAGGAGCTGGTTGTTCAGTTTCCATGTAGTTGAGTGGTTTTCAGTGAGTTTCTTCATCCAGAGTTCTAGTTTGATTGCACTGTGGTCTGAGAGACAGTTTGTTATAATTTCTGTTCTTTTACATTTGCTGAGGAGTGCTTTACTTCCAACTATGTGGTCAATTTTGGAAAAAGTGCAATGTGGTGCTTAGTAGAATGTATATTCTGTTGATTTCAGGTGGAGAGTTCTGTAGATGTCTATTAGGTCTGCTTGGTGCAGAGCTGAGTTCAATTCCTGAATATCCTTTTAACTTTCTGTCTCGTTGATCTGTCTAATGTTGACAGTGGGGTGTTAAAGTCTCCCATTATTATTGTGTGGGAGTCTAAGTCTCTTTGTAAGTCTCTAAGGACTTGCTTTATGAATCTGGGTGCTCCTGTATTGGGTGCATATATATTTAGGATAGTTAGCTCTTCTTGTTGAATTGATCCCTTTACCATTATGTAATGGCCTTCTTTGTCTCTTTTGATCTTTGTTGGTTTAAAGTCTGTTTTATCAGAGACTGGGATTGCAACCCCTGCCTTTTTTTGTTTTCTATTTGCTTGGTAGATCTTCTTCC
This sequence comes from Homo sapiens, assembly GCF_000001405.40. Taxonomy (NCBI): domain Eukaryota; kingdom Metazoa; phylum Chordata; class Mammalia; order Primates; family Hominidae; genus Homo; species Homo sapiens. The sequence goes on from NC_000005.10 coordinate 95,170,777, forward strand.
ATTCCTTTATTTTGAGCCTATATGTGTCTCTGCACATGAGATGGGTCTCCTGAAAACAGCACACTGATGGGTCTTGGCTCTTTATCCAATTTGCCAGTCTGTGTCTTTTAATTGGAGCATTTAGTCCATTTACATTTAAGGTTAATATTGTTATGTGTGAATTTGATCCTGTCATTATGACGTTAGCTGGTTATTCTGCTCTTTAGTTGATGCAGTTTCTTCCTAGTCTCGATGGTCTTTACAATTTGGCATGTTTTTGCAGTGGCTGGTACCAGTTGTTCCTTTCCATGTTTAGTGCTTATTTCAGGAGCTCTTGTAGGGCAGGCCTGGTGGTGACAAAATCACTCAGCATTTGCTTCTCTGTAAAGGATTATATTTCTCCTTCACTTATGAAGCTTAGTGTGGCTGGATATGAGATTCTGGGTTGAAAATTCTTTTCTTTAAGAATGTTGAATATTGGCCCCCACTCTCTTCTGGCTTGTAGAGTTTCTGCCGAGAGATCCGCTGTTAGTCTGATGGGCTTCCCTTTGTGGATAACCCCACCTTTCTCTCGGGCTGCCCTTAACATTTTTTCCTTCATTTCAACTTTGGTGAATCTGACAATTATGTGTCTTGGAGTTGCCCTTCTCAAGGAGTATCTTTGTGGTGTTTTCTGTATTTCCTGAATTTGAATGTTGGCCTGCCTTGCTAGGTTGGGGAAGTTCTCCTGGATAATATCCTGCAGAGTGTTTTCCAACTTGGTTCCATTCTCTGTGTCACTTTCAGGTACACCAATCAGACGTAGATTTGGTCTTTTCGCATAGTCCCATATTTCTTGGAGGCTTTGTTCATTTCTTTTTACTCGTTTTTCTCTAAACTTCTCTTCTCGCTTCATTTCATTATTTGATCTTCCATCGCTGGTACCCTTTCTTCCAGTTGATCGAATCGGTTACTGAAGCTTGTGCATTCGTTGCGTAGTTCTCATGCCATGGTTTTCAGCTCCATCAGGTCATTTAAGGACTTCTCTACACTGGTTAATCTAGTTAGCCATTCATCTCATCTTTTTTCAAGGTTTTTAGCTTCTTTGCGATGGGTTTCAACTTACTCCTTTAGCTCGGAGGAGTTTAATCGTCTGAAGCCTTCTTCTCTCAACTCGTCAAAGTCATTCTCCATCCAGCTTGTTCCATTGCTGGAGAGGAGCTGCGTTCCTTTAAAGGGGGAGAGGTGCTTTGATTTTTAGAAATTTCAGCTTTTCTGCTCTGTTTTTTCCCCATCTTTGTAGTTTTATCTACCTTTGATCTTTGATGATGGTGAGGTACAGATGGGGTTTTGGTGTGGATGTCCTTTCTGTTTGTTAGTTTTCCTTCTAACAGTCAGGACCCTCAGCTGCAGGTCTGTTGGAGTTTGCTGGAGGTCCACTCCAGACCGTTTGCCTACGTATCAGCAGTGGAGGCTGCAGAACAGCGCATATTGCTGAACAGCAAATGTTGCTGCCTGATCATTCCTCTGCAAGCTTTGTCTCAGAGGGGTACCTGGCCGTGTGAGGTGTCAGTCTGCCCCTACTGGGGGATGCCTCCCAGTTAGGCTACTTGTGGGTCAGGGACCCACTTGAGGAGGCAGTCTGTCCGTTCTCAGATCTCAAACTCTGTGCTGGGAGAACCACTACTCTCTTCAAAGCTGTCAGACAGGGACATTAATTCGTATTACTTCTAAGACTCCTTTCTGTAATTTCTGTGCTAAAAATTCCACTGTGCTTAACCATTAGAGTGCTAAAAAGCCCTCCCAGGACTTCTTCACAGGCATAGATGAATTATTACTTTCTTCATATCAAACTATTTTTTTTTTGGTGCCTGTATGATGTCTAGCACTACATGAGGCACTGCAGAGCTCTACCAAGATGTGAATTTTGCCTTTTATCAGTGGTGTCTGGTTCATAATATATGCACAATACATATTTGTTGAATAAATTAAGGATCTGAGTGAGAGAACTATGGTATCTCTTGTTCTGTTGTGTGCCATTTCCTTACTTTAAAGCCAATTACCCCATTGCTTATGGTAGGGGCAGTGTTACCATAGGTCAAATCTCCAAGAGCTTAGGAATGCAAAGGGCTCTGAGAGAACACAATAAACACCCTAGAGCTTAACAATAAGTATATGCATTCATTGAATAGGAACATAGTCCCTCTTCATTTACACATGGTAATTTTCACAGATTATAGACCATATTAATTTCAGCCTTTTTTTTAGGAAAAGAAGTTGTTCTGATGTTTTTTTGTATAGTCTGTTGAACTGAAAACTATCATGTATTTACTTGGAATTATTTAGAACAAATAAAGATTATTTTCTTGTATGGAGATCGAAGACTCACAATGTTACTTTACCAAAAGAGTAGTTACTAAAACATCTACTTTGAAAATACACATTATTGACTGACTCTTAGAGCCCATGAGGCTACAAGCAATTTCAATCTATTAGAACTCAGTGATTTCCTAGGCAGCAGGAGAATAACTGACTAGAGTTACTACTTGATTCCTCTATTCAAATTGCAAGAACTAAATTATATTGGGAATGCATATGGCAAGTGGAAGGAATAAATAATATTTAGTCACTACAAGTAAAATATAATCATAACCAGAAAAAAAATTTATGAGAGAATGAAACAAAGACAGAAAATTTGCATCCTAGGACTACAAGGAGAGACTCCTAATAACTCACCTCAAGTATAGCCATCATCTAGCTCCTCAGTGTTTATAAAGTAAAGGTTAAACTGCTTACCTTGGTAGGCAAGGCATGCTACATTCTGATCCTAACAATTACATCCAGTCTCAATTCTACTTTCTCCTCCCTTTACCTCCTGGCCACATAATTGACATTTAGAGCAATTTACCAGAGTATATATTCACACATGTAGGCAGAAAATTTAATCAGTATTTTAGTGCTTAACTCTTAAGTATGAGCACAGAGACAAGAATCATCAGACATTTAGGGAAAGCCACCAACATAAAAGAGACCCAAATAAACAACCACAAAGCAATCTGGAGTTAATAGAGGCTATGAAGGGAATGGAGAATACTTAAAAAAAAAAAAGCAACAATTAATTTTCTCAGAGAGAGATAAGAAACAAATCAGAGAACAAGAAAGAGTAATTGGAAATTAAAAATGAAAGAACTGAAATTAAAAATAAATCAGTTAAAGAAATGGAAGAAAAAGCCAAGGAAATATTTCAGAAAATAATATAAAGTAGTTGAAAGGATGGACTACAGGAAAAACAAGCTAATTAAAGGGTCAATCAAGAAGGCCCAATATCAAATTGGCTCCATGAGGGCAATGTTTTGTTCACTGCTATTACCTCTAGCACAGAATTACAATGCCTTGCTAGGGGAGGGGCATGATAACTATTTGTTGAATGAATAAATGCATGCTCCAAAGAGAAATCAGAGGGATAATGATGGGATCAAAAGAGGACGAAAATAAACCTTCCCCAAAATGAAGACCATGTATCATATAAAATGGCCCATCAACTGTCCAGCACATTTTTTTCAAAACCCGTATTAATTATTAATGCTCATTATCATAAAATTTCAAAATCAGAGATAATGAAAAGATACTAAACCCAAGAACCAAAAACTAGCCATATGCAAAGAATGAGAAATCAAAATGGCTTAGATTTCTCAAAAAAATATTACAAGTTAAAAGTTATAAGAACAAGCCTTCAAATTCTAAAAGAAATTATTTCTTAGCCCAGAATTATTAATCAAATGGTGAGGTAGAATAGAGACATTTTTGCATGTGAAAAATAACAGAAAATGTCTGTCTCATTCTTGTTTGAATCTGTTCCCCTACTTACTAGGTGTGTGACCTTTGGCAAACTACTTCAGCTCCCTTGCCTCACAGCGTAATTCACATGTAAAATGGGGACTCCCCTCAGACCTCCTTCATAAGGTTGCTGTATGGATTCTGTGAGTTATTTCATGAGTAGTCCTGAGAACAGAGCCTGGCATAAAGTAAGTACTCAATAAACTGTTAATTACTATTTTTAATTATTCTAAAATAAAACGAAAGTCTCCACAAAGCAATAGGATATTTATGAAGTTCATGTGTACATCTTATTTGGTTACTAGAAAGCCATTTGTATTTTTCTTCTTACATAATGTTAGCCATACTTTTTGTATTCTCTTTTTTTTCCATTTGTCTCCCTGTCTTTCTTACTTCAACATTTATTATATTGGCACAACTGCTAAGTTTTTTGGTATGTGATGAGAGAATGACATAAAATCTATGCTTAAGTAAATTGAGGGAAAAAGGGAAAAATGCAAGAAAAAAACTTGTTCTCCAGACACAGTGGGAAAAAAATAGAATTAAACTTATATTGCACTTTTAAATCAATTTTTTGAGTTAAAAATTATAAGTGAAAATGATGCTCTGAGATTAGAACCAATTCATTAATCAATGTTGAATACAAGCACTTGGCTATGTCTCCAGCTCCTAATGCCTTTCTGAGCTGACACGCTTCATTATTGTCAGATGAGTTTTCAATTGAGAGGGATAGCTTTGAACACTCAACTGCCCTTTAGCAGGCAAACACGCAGGAAATGGCACAAGAAGCTTGAAACCAAACTCGTGTTCCTGGACTCAGTTTGGTTTTCACTCAGTGTGGCTGACTGGCACCTGTTTCAACAAACATTGGTACCCTTTCCCTCTATTCCTTCATGAAGCTATCTTCTCAGCTGAGGAACAATTAGAAAAACATTTGGGGCACATGGAAGGAATTAAAAGAATATCCAAAGTAAATTCTCCTCCTACCACACAATAAACCCTGACTCCCATAACAGAAAAATCCACTTGCAAATCAAATTCTAAAGCATTCTAAAGGATGGCTTTGGTGAAGACTGCTTGAAATAGCTTATGGGTAGGTCCAGATTTTCAGCACAACTGGATTTTAAGTGTAAGGAGAAATGCCTTTCTGCAGTCCTGTTTCCTCTACGTAAACAAGGTGTCCTCAGCACGGCCCTCAGAGGCCCACCCACTCACACCTGCCAGGATGTTGCTGGCCTCCAGCACATGCTTCCCCCAGTGAATTCAGTTCACTCCAAAAGAAAGAAAAATTACATAAGGTTTTCTCAAAACCAAACAAAACAAAAACATAAAAAACTGACATCTCTATTACCCTTTTGTTTTCCAGAAGTGCTAGCAGAATATCAGGATAAGATGGACAAAACGCAGGCTGAAAGGCAAGAAATCTGGCTCTAACACCAAAACCTCATGCCAGCGTTCTGAGTCTGCATTTCTTCCCTATAAAATACTGGTGATTCCTATTTATAGGCCTTCTTGCCTCCTTGAGAAAATCAAATGAGCTACTTGATGTGAAAGGACTTAAAAACTATCTTTGTTATTCTAATTGATAAAATGTATTTTTTTTTAACAAATATTTGTTTAGTATGCCCAGCACTATTCTAGGTCTGGGGCACATAAGAACGAGCAGTAGTAGGCCATGCGTGGTGGCTCACGCCTGTAATCCCAGAACTTTGGGAGGCAAAGGTGGGCAGATCACTTGAGCCGAGGAGTTCGAGACTAGCCTGGCCACCATGGTGAAGCCCCATCTCTACTAAAAATACAAAAATTAGCCAGGTGTGATGGCACACACCTGTAATCCCAGCTACTGAGGAGGCTGAGGCAGGAGAATCGCTTGAATCCAGGAGGCAGAGGTTGGAGTGAGCTGAGATTGTACTACTGCACTCCAGCCTGGGCGACAAAGTGAGACTCTGTTTTAAACAACAACAAAAACAGCAGTATTGATATAAAGTCTTTTTCTCCAATAAGTTTTCATTTAAAAATACATATACATACTTTGGGAGGCCAAGGAGGATAGATTTTGTGAGTCCGGGAGTTTGAGACCAGCCTGGCCAACATGCCAAAACCCTGTCTCTACTAAAAATACAAAAAATTAGCTGGGCATGGTGGTGCATGCCTGTAATGTCTGTAGTCCCAGCTAATCAGGAGGCTGAAGTGGGGAGAATCACCTGAGCCTGGGAGATCGAGGCTGCAGTAAGCCAAGATTGGGCAACAGAGTGAGACACTGTCTCAAATATAAAAAATAAAAATATATATATACCTACATTTTTTTTTTGAGACAGAGTCTTGCTCTGTCGCCCAGGCTAGAGTGCAGTGGTGCAATCTCCGCTCACTACAAGCTCAGCCTCCTGGGTTCACGCCATTCTCCTGCCTCAGCCTCCCGAGTAGCTGGGACTACAGGCGCCCGCCACCATGCCCAGCTAATTTGAGAGAGAGAGAGAGACATGAAATACACATACATAATATATACACATAATATATATTAGGGTTATCCGGAGAAACAGAATTAGGGTGTGTATACATAGAAATATATATTTATTTTTATATCTATATTTATATATTTATATTTACATGTACCCACATACACACAGAGAGAAAGAGATTTATTTTAAGGAATTGGCTCCTGTGATTGTGGAGATTTAATGAGTCCAAAATCTGATGAGTTGGGCCCTAGGCAGAGCTGTAGGGAAGACTCCAAAGGCAATGTGCTTTTACAAAACTCAGATAAATTGTATGATCTCCGGTTTAATACTCTGTCTGAAAGTCCATCTAAGATTTAGAAGTTGAAATAATTCTATGATCCATTGGCTGGATTAATGAAGTTATGTTTAATGGTAGAAAGCAAATATTCACATTTTCATTTAAGTCCCCAAGAGAATCACGGTTATCTGGAGCATTAAAAAAACATTAAGCATTAAGAGTAGTATCTTAAAAGCTCTATTATCCAGTTATATCACTGAGCGACAAGAAACATAGCTATATGCTTTGCCATCTGTGCATGAGCTGAATAACAGACATGCAGTGAAAGGAGTAACGTGATTGGTCACTGATCAAGTTGCACATTCGTTATTTGCATAGTGATTTGTGGACTGAAGAGGTAGCAGTTGTGCTTTATTGCAATTACCACAGTTAATGTACACTGACTGGTAACCAAAATTGGAATTTTGCTTGTGTCTATTTAAAACCCAAGCTGGTTGAGATCATATAAGGAATTACTAGACAGAAAACAGGAGGAAGTTAAGTACTATACCAGGTGGGATCCCAAATTGTAGAGGTAAAATAGGAAAAATTTAGTAAAAGAGATTACGATAAAGCAGTCAGTGAGGTGGTGGGAAAGCAAAAAAATGTAGTGCCTACAAATCAAATTTCTGTAGTGTTTTGAGAATGGGGAAACTCTTGACTTTGGTCAGCATGCTCCTAAGTGGACTGCAGGCTATGTGGGAACTGGGTGAGGCCTGTGACTGCCGTCTTTCCCCCACTTCCCTGGTGACCTGTGTGACTCAGCAAAGGCAGCCATAATCCCCCTGTGAACATACCTCCATTGGGCTGAGAACCACACTCCCATCCCCCACAGCAGCTGCAGCAAGGCCCACCCAAGGAGACTCTGAGATCAGACAGGCCTATCCTTGTCCCCACCTAGTGGTCTTTCTCTGCCTGCCCTGGCAGCTGAAGACAAAGAACATAATCTCTTGGGAGCTCTATAACCCCACCCACTGCCTGATCCTGCTTATACAGCTGCAGCTGATACGCTCTGGAAAATGAGACAGAGTCTTGCTCTGTCGCCCAGGCTAGAGTGCAGTGGTGCACTCTTGTGTTCCTGGCTGAAGGCCAACCAACACAAAACCAGCACACTAAAGAAAAATACAAGCAAGGACCCACACAGAGTCTATTTCACTTTGCAGACATTCCTTAGTACCAGCTCAGAGCCTGGTAGGCTCTGCTGGGTGACTAGACCCAGAAGAGCAAAAGCAATCACTGCAGTTCGCCTCTCAGGAAGCCCCATCCCTAGGGGAAGGGGGAGAACACCACATCAAAGGAGCACCCCATGGAGCAAAAGAATCTGAACAGCAGCACTTGAGTTCCAGATCTTCCCTCTGACATAGCCTATCCAAATGAGAAGGAACCAGAAAAATAATTCTGGTATTACGATAAAACAAGTTTCTTTAACATCCCCAAAAGACCACACCAGCTCACCAGTAATGGATCCAAACCAAGACAAAATTTCTGAATTGCCAGAAAAAGAATTCAGAAGGCCCATTATTAAGCTAATCAAGGAGGCACTAGAGAAACGTGAACTCCAACTTAAAGAAATCAAAAACATGATACACGATATGAGAGGAAAAATCTTCAGTGAAATAGATAGCATAAATAAAAAACAATCACGACTTCTGGAAATCAAGGATACACTTAGAGAAATGCAAAATGCATTGGAAAGTCTCAGTAATAGAATAAAATGATCAGAAGAAAGAACTTCAGAGCTCAAAGACAAAGCTTTTGAATTAACCCAATCTGACAAAGACAAAGACAAAAAATATTTAAAAATGAACAAAGCCTCCAAGAAGTTTGGGACTATGTTAGGCATCCAAACCTAAGAATAACTGGTGGTGTTCCTGAGGAAGAAGAGAAATCTAAAAGTCTGGAAAACACATTTCAGGGAATAATCAAGGAAATCTCCTCTGGCCTTGCAAGAGATCTAGATATCCAAATACGAGTAGCTCAAAGAACATCCAGGAAATTCATTACAAAAAGATCATCATCTAGGCACATAGTCATCAGGTTATCTAAAGTCAAGATGAAGGAAAGAATCTTAAAAGCTGTGAAGCAAAAGCATCAGGTAACCTATAAAGGAAAACCTATCAGACTAACAGATTTCTTAGCAGAAACCATACAAGCTAGAGTAATTGGGGTCCTATTTTAGCCTCCTTAAACAAAACAATTATCAACCAAGAATTTTTTATCCAGAGAAACTAGGCTTCATAAATGAAGGAAAGATACAGTCTTTTCCAGACATAACAAATGCTGAGAGAATTCACCACTACCAATCTGGCACTACAAGAACTGCTAAAAGGCGCTCTAAATCTTGAAACAAATCCTCAAAACACACCAAAATAGAACCTCCTTAAAGCATAAATCTCACAGGACTTATGTAACAATAACACAATGAAAAAATAAACAAGGTATTCAGGCAACAAATAGCACAATAAACAGAATAGTAGCTCACATCTCAATACAAATACAGAATGGCAAATGGATAAGAATTCACCAACCAAGTTTCTACTGTCTTCAGGAGACTCACCTAACACATAGGAACTCACATAAACTTAAGGTAAAGAGGTAGAAAAAGATATTCCATTCAAATAGAAACCAAAAGCAAGCAGGAGTAGCTATTCCTATATCAGAATAAAACAAACTTTAAAGCAACAGCAGTTAAGAAAGACAAAGAGGGACATTATACAATGATAAAAGGACTAATCCAACAGGAAAATATCACAATCCTAAATATACATATGCACCTAACACTGGAGCTCCCAAATTTATAAAACAATTACTACTAGACCTACCAAATGAAACAGAAGGCAACACAACAATAGTGGGGGACTTGAATACTCCACTGTCAGCACTAGACAGGTCATGAAGACAAAAAGTCAACAAAGAAACAATGTAGGAGGCAGTCACTATTTTCCCTCTCCATTCCCACCTCCCTGTCTGCCTCCAAACATTCCAGTTGGGCCTTAGGCCATGTTACTCCAGCAAAACAACCCTGTCTAGGTCCAGATTGATCTTAATATTCCAGTTTCAATGGTTAATTAGTCCACACTACTTGACCTCTTAGGAGCATTTTGACCAAAGCTGAAAGCTTCCTCCTTCTTCACATGTTACTAAAATTTGGTTTCTGGGCACTGTGCTTTCTTGGCTTTTCCACCACCTCTCTGGCTGCTCTTTCTCTTTTGCTAAACTTTCCCTGTCTATCTCACGTCTACAGTTCGGGGCACTACCGGGTATAGTCCTTAACCTCTTACTGTTCTGTATCTAGTAACTCCCTATATGATTCTCAACCAGTTTGAGGTTTTAAATAGCATTTATATATCAATGACTCCCAAATTTGTATCTCTAGCCACCGTCTCTTCCCTGAGCTCTAGAATAGGTGATAATATTCCTCTCAACTTATCACATCTAAAGGAAAACTTTTAATTTTCCCTTCCCAGCTGCTGCTTCCCATCTTCTCCATCTTTATATATCATACCATTATACCCTTACTTGCCCTAGCCAAAAACTTAGGAATGATCTTTAATTCCTTTCTTTCCCTCACAGCCCATACCTAATCTATCAGTTTGCTCAGTTTGGTCTTCAGGATATACCCTGAAGCTGACCTCTTCTTAAACCCTATTGCTAAAACCCTGGTCCAAACCATCATTATTCCTCACCTGAACTGCTGCAAAAACCTCCCAACTTGGCCTCCAGCCAGGAAGGGGTTTTCTTGTTTCCACTATAGCTATTCCATAGTCAACTTTTAGCTCAGTTTCCAGAATGATCCTCTAAAAATGCATATTGAATCACATCACTCCTCTGATTAAAACTGTCTGGCAGCTTCTCATCACACAAAGTATAAAATCCAAACTCTTTACCACAGCCTACAAGGGCTCCTGTGATCTGTCCTCTTTGTGCTTCTCCAAGCTCATCTTCTAATTCTCTCCCTCTAGCTCACTCTAGCTACACGTCTACATTCTGCTGTTTTTATACTACAAGCTCATTCCTCTTTTGGGGGATTTGCATTTGCTATTCCTTCCACATAATATTCCCCACCTCCTTCAATCTTAGCAGTGCTTTATTGATTGATTGCCTAAAGGTCAGCTCAGCAGGATGTCTTCCATGATGACTTTATATAAAAGAGCACTTCCTGTTCGCATCCCTGTTCCCTCTTCATTTTCCTTCATAAAAATTATCATACCTCTTGATATTCCATTATAAGTACACACACACATACATACACAGGGTGAGAGAGAGAGAGAGAGACAATCCTCACTTAGCACACTTTTGATATGCATGGGGTTCAGTTACAACATTTTAAATAAAAACCCTAGTCCCTCAACAGCATGCTTCAAATTTCAGTTCTCATGGTAGATTAACAGTAAGTAATTGCATAAGATACAAAATTTGCCACCAGCCCTTCAGTCCACAAATCGCTATGTGAAAAGAGAGATGTGCATAATGATCAGTAACTAATTGCATCACTCCTTTCACCATCCGTTAGTGATTGCTCACTGTGTTTGTTATTCAGTTCATCACAGACAGCAAAGCATGGACTTTGGATGCCTCTTTGTCTCCCACTGATAAACCCATAGGATGTTTTATGAAAACGGGTCACTGAAAGAGAGAATTAGACAACAAAGATGAAAAAGCAGCAAAGAAACAACAAATGATAACACAAAATAAAATAAAAATAAAATGTAAATAGAGTTACAAAAGAAATATCTGACCATGGGAATATTGATACTGGCATCATTTGAGAAACTATAGCTCTATAACCAAAGGAACTCAGTGAAGCACAGCTATCAACACACATGAGGAAAAGTGGGTGTGAAGAAAAGGATGAAGATGCCCCAGAAGTCACGCTTGCTGAAAAACTTCCCCTTAAAGGAATTCTCAAAGATACATCATGATATTGAAGGCACAAAGGAGAAAACATTGGAAGGTGATTCAAACTTAGAAAAGAGCATGATGATTTGATAAGATATTGAGAAGATGCTCACTCTGTATGGTAGGTTATACAAGAAGAAGGCAAGCGCTGTTCAAACTACTCCTGACACTTTTTTCCCAGAATATAAAATACTTTAATTTTGAATGTTTCTAATGTTTGAAACTATAGTATGTTAAATTAGTATTGGTTGTACTATTTTTTCATTTTCTTATACTTTCATAACTTTAAGCAGTAAGAGATTTTTTAATATCAAAATGTTTTATAGGTTATGGAACAATAGTAATATTTTCATTGATTTTTACAATCATTTTGCATGGTTTCAGCTTGCATGGCCATTTTTACAGTCCCACACCACTGTGGAAAGCAAACATTGTATAAAGAAACAAAAATAACTACCATAGTCAGAATCATTTTTAAAATTATAAAAAAAATGGGGGGGACTCATGTTAACTGGCTTAAAGAATATTATAAAGCTGGGAGGCCGAGGCGGGTGGATCACAAGGTCAGGAGATCAAGACCATCCTGGCTAACATGGTAAAATCCGTCTCTACTAAAAATACAAAATAAAAATTAGCCGGACATGGTGGCGGGTGCCTGTAATCCCAGCTACTCAGGAGGCTGAGGCAGGAGAATCGCTTGAACCTGGAAGACAGAGGTTGCAGTGGGCTGAGATCGCACCATTGCACTCCAGCCTGGGTGATAGAGCAAGACTCCGTCTCAAAAAAAAAAAAAAAAAGAATATTATAAAGCTACAATAATCAAATCAGGACAGCGCCAGTATAAGGACAGATGAATATATCAGTGGAACAGAATAGAGTCCAGAAATAGATCCATACATAAGTGGTTAATTGATATTTGTCAAATGTGCCAAGGCAATTCAAAGAGAAATGGATAGTGGTCTCAAAAAATTATGCTGAATCAACTGGGCATCTTTATGAAAAATAATAAACCTCAACCTCACACCATACAAAGAATGAATCATAGCCTAAAACATAAATCTAAGCATAAGCCTTAAAACTTCTAGAATGAAACATAGGAGAAAAATTTTACAGCCATGGAGTAGGTTCATTTATTAATTTAAAATAAATATAATTTATATTTATTAGAATTAAAAATTTATTAATGAGAACATGAAAGCACAAACATAGAAGGAAAAACAATACACTGCAATTGATCAAAATTAAAACTTTTACTTTTCAAAGGATATCAAGAAAATGCAAAGGAAAGCCAGAAATTTGGAGCATGAATTTGAAATACATATATCTGACATATTGTATATCCAAAATATATAATGAGATCTTGCAACTCAAGAAAAAGACAAACTACTGACTAAAAATAAACATGCAAACAAGCAAAATAATTGGGCAAAGATTGAGCCGACATTCGCCAAAAAAAGTATGAGAATGGTAAATAAGTACATAAAAGGATGTCCACCTTCATTAATGAAGGAAATAAAAATAAAAATCACAATTAGATACTACTTCAGATCTATTGGAATGGCTGAAATTAATCAGACTGACAATACCAAAGAAGGGTGAAGAGCAACTGAAACTTGCTACAGTGTTCTTTGGAGTATAATATGGCGTGAACATTTTGAAAAAGAGTTTGGCAAACACCGCATGTTCTCACTCATAATTGGGAGTTGAACAATGAGAACACATGGACGCAGGGAGGGGAACATCACACACCGGGGCCTGTTGGGGGGTGAGGGGCTAGGGGAGGGATAGCATTAGAAGAAATACTTAATGTGGATGATGGGTTGGTGGGTGCAGCAAACCACCATGGCACATGTATACCTATGTAACAAACCTGTACGTTCTGCACATGTATCCCAGATCTTAAAGTATAATAATAATAATAAAAAAAGGAGTTTGGCACTTTTTAAATGAAGTTTAACATCTACTGACCCAAAGGTATAGAATCTCCAACTTCTAGATATTTGCCCAAAAGGAAATACGTGTCCACAAAAAGGATTACACATCCAAATAACAATAAAGAAACTGAATCCATAATCAAAAAGTTCTCCAAAGAAAAATATTCAGGTCCAGATAATTTCACTGGAGAATTTTACCAAACATTTAAAAAATTGACACTAATTTTGAAACCACCTTTGCAAAATTATAACTGAGCAAATTATGACAGTGAAAGAAATCAGACCTAACCGACTCCATCTTGCTTCTAACCTTTAAGCTGTCCTTGTTCATTCCCGGGTGTAGGGCAAACTAACTTTGGGAAGGATTCAGTTCATGGTTTAACTATCAAACAAAACTGATAACAGCCCTTTCCTGAAAAGACCCCCTTCTTGCCTGGGGACCAGTCTGCCTTTACAGGACTAACAAATTAGCTACAAGATTAAAAATTACAGTTTAGGGGTCATGCAGCTTCTGGCTCCAAAAGTCTGAACCTCCCCAAATTGCTCCTGGGGATAACATCACTATTGTAAAACCTAAGATCAGTACTTGAGACATTTTTCAGACCCTGCACTTGATGGATCAGCTGACACCACCCAGACTGGTAATCTGCCTCAACCAGTTCTGCCATCTCACCCAGGAACAGAAGACATTAAGAAAACCTAACTTCAACCCCCTATGATTCCATCTCCAACCTGACCAATCAGCATTCCCCACTTCCCAAGGCCCTATCTGCCAAATTATCTTTAAAAATTCTGATCCCCGAATGCTCAGGGAGACTGATTTGAGTAATGATAAAACTCCGGTCTCTTGCACAGCCGGCTCTGCATGAATTACTCTTTTTCCATTACAGTTCCCCTGTCTTAAGAAAGCAGCTCTGTCTAGGCAGTGGGCAAGGTGAACCCACTGGGCAGTTACAATTTTACACAACCATTCTGAGAAAACGGAAGTGGAGGGAATGTTTCTCAACTTACTTTATGAGGCTAGTATTGTAATGATACCAAAACCTAACAAAGACAGTACAAACAAAGAAAACAAAAAATATATTCTATGAACTTAGATGCAGAAATCCTCAACAAAACATTAGCAAATTCAAATCCAATAACATACCATGACCAAGTTTGTATTTGTTCCCTATATTTAATGCTGGTTTAATATTTGGAAAATTGATCAATGAAATCCACCATATCAACAGGTTAGAGATGAGAAATCATATCAATTGGCACAGAAAAGGCAGCTAACAAAATACAGGATCATTCATGGTTTTTTAAAAATAGAACTCTCAGGCCAGGTGCAGTGGCTCATACCTGTAATCCCAGTATTTGGGAGATCGAAGTGGGTGGATTGCCTAAGGTCAGGAGTTGGAGACCAGCCTGACCAACATGGTGAAACCCTGTCTCTACTAAAAATAGAAAATTAGCCAGGCATGGCAGCGCATGCCTGTAATCCCAGCTACTCGGGAAGCTGAGGCAGGAGAATCCCTTGAACCTGGGAAGTGAGGCCAGGCATGGTGGTTCACGCCTGTAATCCCAGCACTTTGGGAGGATGAGGCAGTTGGATCACAAGGTCAGGAGTTTGAGACCAGCCTGGCCAACATGGTGAAACCCTGTCTCTACTAAAAAAATAAGCCGGACATGGTGGCACGCACCTGTAATCCCAGCTACTCAGGAGGCTGAGGCAAAAGAATCGCTTGAACCCATGAGGCAGAGGTTGCAGTGACCCAAGATCATGCCACTGCACTCAAGCCTGGGCAATAGAGAGAGACTCCATCTCAAAAACAAACAAACAAACAAACAAAAAACCCTGGGAGGCAGAGGTTGCAGTGAGCCGAAATTGCGCCACTGCACTCCAGCCTGGGTGATGGAGCGATACTCTGTCTCAAAATAAATACATAAATAAAATAAAAATAAAACGTTCAGTTCTAGCCACTGAAATAAGGCAAGAGAAAGAAAAAAAAAGATATTCAGACTGGGAAAGAAGAAGTAAACCCATCTCTATTTGCAGATAACGTAATTGTCTATGTAGAAAATCCCAAGGAATCTACCAAAAAAAAAAGAAAAAAAAGAAAAAAAAAACTCCCAGACCTAATAAGCAAGTTTTGCAAAGTTGCAAGATAGAAGATCAATCCACAAAAATCCATCATATTTCTATATACTAACAATTAACATGCAGAAACTGAAATTTAAAATATAATACTATTTAGAATCACTTCAAAGAAAATGAAATACTTAAAAATATATTAAGAAAATGTGCATGGGATCTTATGCTAAAAATTGCAAAATGCTGATGAAATAAAAGAAAGATAGAAATAAATGGAGAGATATACCTTGTTCATGGATTGGAAAACTCAACATAGTGAAGTGGTTAACTCTCCCCAAGTTGACATATGAGTTTAATATAATTCCTATCAAAATCCCAGCTTTGTGGACATAGAGAAAATTTATATGGAAATGCATAGCCCTATAATAGCTAAAAGAAAGTTGATAAAGAAGAATAAAGTAGGTACAGAAATCACTCTGCCTTTTAATAAGGCTTACATTATTAGCTAGAAAAATCAAGACAGTATGGTAGTGTTTTAGGGAACAGACTCTAGATCTATTCCTAGATCCATCCAGAGAGAGCCACAGAAGAGAACCCAGAATCCAGAAACAGACCCACAAAATACATCCAGTGGCTTTTAATAAAGATGCCAATGAAAGTTAAAATGGCTTATATCCAAAAGACAGGCAACAATAAATGCTGGCAAGAATGTGGAGAAAAGGGAACCCTCATACACTGTTGGTGGGAATGCAAATTAGTACAACTACTATGGAATACAGTTTGGAGGTTGCTTAAAAAACTAAAAATAAAGCTAGCATATAATCCAGCAATCCTAACTGCTGGGTATATACCCAAAAGAAAGGAAAGCAGTAAATCGAAGAGATATTTGCACTCCCATGTTTATTGCTGCACTGTTCACAATAGCTAAGATTTGGAAGCAACGTAAGTGTCCATCAGCAGGTGAATGGATAAAGGAAATGTGGTACATATACAAAATGGAATACTATTCAGCCATAAAAAGAATGAGATCCTGTCATTTGCAACAACGTGGTTGGAAAAGGAGATCATTATGTTAAGTGAAATAAGCCAGACCCAGAAAGACAAACATCATATGTTCTCACTTATCTGTGGGCTCAAATCAAGTTTTTTTGTTTTTGTTTTGAGATGGAGTCTTGCTCTGTTGCCCAGGATGGAGTGCGGTGGTGTGACCTCAGCTCATCTTAACCTCCACCTTCCGCGTTCAAGTGATTTTCCTGCCTCAGCCTCCCAAGTAGCTGGGACTACAGGCACCCGCCACCACGCCCGGCTAATTGTTTGATATTTTTAGTAGAGATAGGGTTTCACCATGTTAGCCGGGATGGTTGTGATCTCCTGACCTCGTGATCCACCCGCCTCAGTCTCCTAAAGTGCTGGGATTACAGGCGTGAGCCACCGCGCCTGGCAATCCCATCTTTTTGGTAAGGGATTGGGGGTAGGGGGAAGGGTAAGAAGCAGGTGAGGATAGTTAATGGGTACAAAAAGAAACAATGAATAAGACCTACTATTTGATAGCACAACAGGGTGACTATAGTCAATATTAAGTTAATAGTACATTTAAAAATAACTGAAAGAGTATAATTGGATTGCTTCTAACATAAAGGATAAATGCTTGAGGGGATAGATATCCCATTCTCCATGATGTGATTATTACACATTGCATGCCTGTATCAAAACGTCTCATGTACCCCATAGATATATACACCTACTATGTACGCACACAATTAAAAATTATTAAAAATTTTTAAAAAGAATTCTCATAACTCAACAGTAAAGAAACACCATTCAAACAGAAAATGGACAAAAGACATGGAAAAGATATTTTACCAAGACAGATACATAGATGGCAAATGAGTACATGAAAAGATGTTCAACACCATTAACCATTAAAGAAACAAATTAAAACTACAGTGAGATATCACTGCACACCTGTAAGAATAGCTCAGATAAAAAAGAGTGACAACATCAAATGCTGATGATGCTGAGAAGTTGGCTCACCGGTGCAATGATGCTGGAAATGTAAAACGGTACCGTTATTCTGGAAAACAGCTCAGCAGTTTTATATAAAACTAAACATACTATCACCATATGACCCAGCAATTGTGCTCTTGGGCATTTATACCAGAGCAATGAAAACTTATCTTTACACAAAAACATGTACACTAATGTTCACAGCAGCTTTATTAGTAACAGCCAAAAACTAGAAACAACCTTCGATGGGAAGGAAACCCATTGATATACACACAGCTTAGATAAATCTCAAGGGAAGGATGCTGAGTGAAAAATGTCAATCTTAAAAGTTGCATATTATATGATTCCGTTTAAATAGCATTCTTGAAATAACAAGATTATAGAGATGGAGAATATATTACTCATTTCCAGGGGTTGGGGATGGAGGAGATGTATGTGGTTATTAAAGGGCAATGCGGGAGATCTTTGTGGTGACAAAACTGTTCTGACAGGGGTGGTGAATATGCAAAACTACACATGAAATAAAATTGTCTAGAACTAAATATACACACACACACTCGAGTACATGTAAAACTGGGAAATCTAAATAACATCAGTAGATGATAACAATGTCAATTCCTGGTCATGATACTGTACTATAATTCTGTAAGATGTTACTACTGGAGAAAACTGAATAAAGGATACACGGAATCTCTCTGTGTTATGTCTTAAAATCACACGTGAATCTAAAAAATCTCAAAATAAAAAGGTGTATTAAAGCAAAAAGATTTGAATACAATCTCATAGTAGCATTTTCATAACAGTCCTAGACCGGAAATAACCCAAATGCCCAACAACAGGTGAATGGAGAAGCAGATTTTCCTACTCAGAAATAGAAATGAACAAATTGTTCATACATGCAACACCATAGTTAATTTCCCAGACAATACTGAATGAAAGAAGACAATATTTCATTTATATGAAGTTGCAGAACAAATAAAACTAATCAATGGTGATGAAAAAAATTAAAGAGTTGGTGAAAGGGAGGAGTGAAGCGACTGCAAAAGAATCTGCAGGCCTTTCTAGGATGATGGAAATATAAAGACATCTTGATTAAGGTGGTGGTTACATACGACACACATTTATCAAAACTTATCAAAGCATATCCTTTAAATCTGTGCTTTTTATTGTGTATGCAAATTATACCTCAACAACTCAACAAGTTATTTTTAAGTGTCGGTATGGTTGTAAGACAGAGAGGAGTCTAGGATATTGAAGATGGAGGCAAGGAAATGTCTGGGGAGTTTCTAATGCAGGCATCTTTGATCCTGGTCAGATGGCCTTAAAGGGAAGGGTATACCAGTCAAGGAAATAGGGCACATTGAATAGGAATCCAGGAAATCTGGGAGTAGTAAAGCCTCTTTTCTCTATTACAACACCTCTATACACCACAGAGGGTGTGAGGAATGAGAAACCTAAGGTCTATATTTCCGTGAGATACTGTTAATGATGACTTTTAATTTGTACAGGCTATAATTTGCATATTTTTCCATGTGCCTAATTAGTGTTATCTTCAAGACTTACTGGGTAAACAAAAGGGGTCTGTTGGTTCAAGGACATACCTGACTTATCATATCCTCCCTTGACTATGCACTTTTGATTACTGAACATTTCCAGAGAATTAACAAATAGAGCAGGAGATTAAATGATATGGAAAATATTAATTAGTGGGCTTAATATCCGTACTTGGTGGGAGAGACGTATATATATGCAAAGAGATTGAAGCATGTTCCAGGGAAAAGCTTAGAAGATGAAGCTACCAGCTTCTTTATTAATGGCCTTCAACTACCTCAAGCTTGCCGTGTTTTTAAAGCAAAATAATGTGTTTCTAACACAAACACTCCAGCAGCATATTACAGCCTGAAAGGGAAATCTGGTAAGGATACAAACAGCTCTCTACTATTTATGCCTTGTGGAACTGCCATGGAAATTCTGATGTCCTGACACTGGAAATATCCAACTAGCCTGCAGAGAAGCCAATTCTTGGAAAGTGCACCATCATTTTAATTTTGAAATAAAAGGAAATTAAGACATGAGGAAAAGATGCCTGAGATGCTAAATATAAAGACAGCATTTAATTATTCTGAGTCAGTTATCTAGTTTAAAGAATAAATTCTTCACTATCAAAAACAATGCACCACTATCTTTATGAATTTTCTTTCTGCTAAACCTCTCTTCCTTTTAGATATCTATATTCTAGAGCTATTGATTTTTGAGGTTCCTCTCATGCAAACTTGGGAGCAAATTCATTGTCAACTACCAATCTGGAACCCAGGAAAGAGTTGAGCTTTTGAAACCAGGATTCCATGTCATTTACTAGCTACTTGCTTCCAAGTTTCCTTACTAAAAAAAAAACGGGAATAAAAATAATTCCTTTTCTATCTTCCTGACAATGCTATTTGCAAATAAATGAAAGAATTCACCTAAAACATAAAGTATATTCCACACATTATATAAGTGCTATTTGATGTACATTTGAGAAGACACTTGATAGAAGAGATTTACAATACAGATATTTGATACAGTTTAAAAACTAACTTTTAACAACATGAACAACCCAAAATGAAACTATTCTATAGAACTAAAATCTTAAATCTGCCAAATTCCATTAGAGTTGAAAATTAACCTATATATTTGGTTTGAAGCAATATGATAATAATGTGAAACCAGTCAGTCAAACACAAAGAAAAGACTTGTACAATTAAATAATTTTAAGCTAGTTTATGAATTCTCATGACCTTATTACAAGTTATTTGATAATGAAGATCAAAGCACATAATATATAAAAACAAATATAAATTGCTAACTATTCTCTGTTTTGTCCAATTTACTTTAATAATGAAAACATAAAATCTATCCACCGTCATATATAAAAATAGGCCAGGGAACTCTCTTCAAGTATCTGTACAAAGGGCTTACATGAAAAATATCTGTGTTTACTATAGTCATCCTGTTGTGCTATCAAATCCTATTCCTTTGATCTAACTATATATTTGTACCCATTTGTATTTAGACAGTTTAAGCAGAATAAATTTTTTAAAAAGAAACTTCTTCGAAGTGCCCCTAGGTTTCAAACAGAAAGGTTTAGTAATGCTAATAAAGTATGACAGTATATTACAATCTATAGTTACACTATCTTCCACCACATGCGAATCTGAAGAAAAGGTTATTGATTTAGAAACCATCTGCCACAGACTTCACAGTTTCACCCAAAGAAGCAATTTGTTTTTATTTTCTATCACTATAACTTCTTACCCTCTCATGACTCTCAGTTATAAGTCCCAGTGAGTCACTTTCCTTTGTTTCATTTCTTCAAACATTTCTAGAAAGGTGAAAATAAGTATATTGGTTTGCTTGAAAATATTTCCTCTACTATTCTTTCTCAAGTGGTCAATAGTATGTTACTAACAAATGCATTTCAACTAAGAATATATGTTTCCTGAGCTGACTCCCACTCCTGCTACAAGTGCATTATTGTACTTCAGTAACCAATCTGCCTTCCTCTTCTATTGCACACCAATATTTTCCTAGGCTAAAATTTTAAACAAACTTGAGCTTTGGAAATCAAATTCCAAGTAGGTACACTGAAGATAGAGGTCTTCATTCTTTTCACAAATTCTACACTTTGAAAGCAATTTATTTTTGTTCTTCCTTACCTCCCAATTGTTGACAGAGCTAGTCATTATGCAATTTGTCAGAATCCTAACTATACAGCCAATATTTTTAAAATTAGATACATTCACAATTTTTACTTTTTTCTCTATGGCAAAATTTTCTTTATCATCCATACCCTGCTGCTACCTAAAATTGCATGCACAGAAAGAGTATTCCCAAGGGATAAAAAAAAGTTTTTCACATTAACTTAAGCAAAGTAATTAAAAATATAAATTTAGTAAAACAGACATGTTTTTGAGTAAGTTTTTTCCAACATGTGGTGAGGCATGTATGTATAACTGTATTTATGAATACGGTTATACTGTACATAATACAGTACATTAAGAATTTGACATGTTTTTTCCTTTATGATACTGAGAATATATAATTTAGCCTATTTCCATTTTTCCCCTGGCTGCCAGAAAGCTGAGAGTCAAACAAACCAGCTGCTCATTATATAACTATATTAGTCTCTTTTTGAACAAATTTGTTTTATTTTCTGTGCCAACTTCTAGAGTACTGTCTAGTAGTAATTCATTAGTTTTATGGTGCATATGTTACACATCATAACCTTTTTCAAGTCTCTTTTAGATAACAGGTAGGATACAATAAAAGGGCAGACATATTTATTTAAGATCAAGGAGGTAAGTTGTTATTTTACTAAAACTTAACAGAAATTGACAAATACTTTTATATGTCTTGAAAAAGTGCTTAAAGCCACATTTCATCAAATAAAATAGATTTTATTTTAGCTTACCTATTGGTAATTTTCAGGGCTCTGAAAAGGCTTTAATTAAAGAGTATCAGAGGATTTAAGAGCAGGATGGCTGTTTGTGTCAGTATTAAGCCAAGATTTACAAAGGCCTATTACGGTTCCAGTGACATTTCCTTCCTATTTTTCCATATCAGCAGGAACATTTCTTGAGGGAATAGATTGCTACTTGCTGATAAGATCTCTGACAGTAAAGGTAGGCTAAGCAGGATGCCAGGTATGAAACTAGAGAATAAAATCTTATCAAATGTAAAACTTGTAACATTGCACCTGCCATGTAGTTGGTTTACCTCGAATGGTCATTGCTTTTCCTCAAAAGCATATAAAGTTGTATCCTAATAAGTGTTGGTATGCAACAAAATTATGTTTTAATAAACTGAGTAATTTTTAAAAACTAATTTTGGAGCATGATAGAAGTTTAATAAACATCTAAAGAGATTTAAAAGCAAATAAGTAATCATAGTCATCAATTCACTTAGAAGCAAACCTCTCATATACTTTACATCTACTTCAAGGCTTTTTCTACTGCATGAATCAAATCACAGCTGCCTTATTTTCACCCAAAGATAACACACTGTTTTGTGACTCCATAAGGTTATTTATTACTAATATATTTTATATTTGCATGGCACTTTTCTATTTACAACATACTTTCATTTATAGATTATCTCATTCAAGCTTCATCATTCTGAGAAAACAGATTATAATCACATTAAAAAGTACAGGATGAGGTTAACAAATGGACTAAATATACAAATAGAGTTAAAACAGCCTGATTAAGATACAGAATTTAAATATTTTTCAGGCTGTGCAAAGCTAAGATAATGTCCTTTGTCATCAAGCTCACTGAAAAGCTTTTATTAGGCAACATTTGTATGGAGCACTGTTCTCTGGGATAAACTACGAACCATTAACATGGGCAAACATACAAGGAGCATACAAGTAGAGAATAAAGGCAAGATTAAGGTACATAATAGTAGCAAAAAAAGTCTTTTATCAGTCAAAGTCCAGATGCATAAGAGTAATATACATATGGATATCACAGGAGTGGTGACAGGTAGATAAAATTTATCACTTTTCTTTTGTATTTCAAGATAATAATATTTTAACTTATGTAATTCCTACAAGAACCCCCTATAAAGTAAGAACTATTTTATGCCTGAGGAAACTGAGGAACAAAGATTAAGAAACATTACTGAAAGCCAGGCGTGGTGCTTCACGCTTGTAACCTCAACACTTTAGAAGGCTGAGGTGGGTAGATCACTTGAGATCAGGAGCTTAAGACCAGCCTGGGCAACAAAGCAAGACCGTGTCTCTACAAAAAAATAACATAAAAAATTAGCCAAGCATGGTAGCTTGCACCTGTAGTCCTAACTCCTCGGGAGGTTGAGGCAGGAGGATAGCTTGAGCCCAGGAGTCTGAGCCTGCAGTGAGCTATGATTGTGCCTGGGCAACAGAGTAAGAGTGAGACACTGTCTGAAAAGAAAATAAAGAAAAAAGAAAAGAAATGAAAAGAAAGAAAAGAAAAAGAGAAGAGAAGAGAAAACATCACTCAAGATCACACACCTAATGCTAATAAGTGGCCAAAGTGGGATTCAAACCCAGGCAGTTTGGCTGCCTACAACTCAACCCTACCCTCACTCTACTGCGTGGAAAAATTACCTGCCATGGTGAACGGGAAACTGAAACTGTATGAAAGAAAGAGGAGAGCAAAGCTTATCTTATGATCAGGTGGTACCTGTGAGAAATGATTTGAGGGAAAAACAAGTAAAATAACTTAAAAATATTCACCTCACTGACTCTCCACCATGAGAAGTTTCCCTTTTAGGATCTATTTTCCAAAATCCCCTATTTGATGCAAGTATTCAGGTATATGTACAGTCACTATCCAACACCTTTGTTTTCAACTAATATCATGGGGATTACAATGACTCTCATGACACCCACGTGAAAGAAAATAAAACCCCACATCCAGGGCAGTGTCTAGACCTGAACGTTACTGAGAGAATAAGGAAACCAAAATAGCTGGCTTCAAATGTGGGCTGAGGACCAGGTAGTAAGTGGATGACATACAATGGAACCTTCCAAACACACAGAATAGCACCCACAGAATAAAACAGAGCCCTGGACGCCAGGGTGGTCATTGATCAAACAAGGCTAGAGGGATGACAGAGAAAAGGCGAGACTTCAAGGCTTTAAAATTGGGAGCAGAGACCTTGGCAATAAGAAACTGCTGGAAAGCTTTCAGAGAAGGTTCCAAATACAAAGGCAGGTTGGTTAATTTGGCACCACCAGGAGGAATACTGTGTGGAGTCTAGCCAGGCCTATGAGGCCTTGAATCCTGAGACAGGAGATGGCAGGAAACCAAATGCAGAAGGTGGCACCAGGAGAGTCCTCATACACCGCACATCCTAGAATATGCTCCAGGGATTCAGAATGATGGATGATGGAGAACGGGCTCTTGCTTATGATGTTTCCAGGAAAGATCTGAGACACAGTAGCCTCACAGAATCTTGGGTTTTTCCCCCGTGGCAACTTGACTGAAGGAGACAATTTTGATACGCCATATCTGCTTTCTATTTCATACCACCCAGAGAAGGTCAGAGGGAATGGGAAAGTAAAAGTTCACTGTTCAAAAAGAGTGAGACGGTGTTTCATGTCTGTTTCTGAGGAGACCAGGGGTACTGTGACAGACAAGGAGATGTTCAGCAATGGTGGGTAGCACAGGAAATGGAGCTCTCTAGGCAGCATGATCACAGAAAGAATTGCCATTGGCAGCCCGTATTTTTCAAGAGGAAATTAAAGGACACATAAAATCAGAGAAGAAAGTGGGGAGCAGAAAGGGTTTCAGGAGCAGAAAGTACATTGAGTACCAATTTGACAGCCAGTCACCATAAAAGATATGAGTTTGGATCCAAATGCCGAGTTGATAGAGCGCTAAGGCAGCTTAGAATCTTCAACATAAACACAGCAGAGAGGGGTATAAAGTGACCGAGCTGAGATGTAAACAATAATTCCTAGACCCAGATTTCAACAGCAGCAGTATAGCTCTTGGTGGGAAGAATAAATATTTTATATGTATAGAAGTAAAAATGATATGTGTGTTAATTCCCAAAGAGGGATTAAAGACCTTTCTCTAACATAGTACCAATGTGTAAATGTTCTCCAAGACTTATTTTATTAAGCACACATTCCTGGGAAGGTGATAAAGCTAGCTATTAGATTGCATTCTGAAGATGCTCAATTATTTTCTTTATATGTGGTCCCCCGCCTTTCTAAAATCTCTACACTGGGCCAAATAGGAGACCACTGAGCTTAGTATGCCAGCTCATTCCTGGATATGTTTATCGCTACTAGGAGCAAATGCTGTGTCTTCCACCAAATTTTTAAGTGTCTGAGCAGACAAATATCTTGAAAACCTGACTATATTTTATGCTGAGCTCTCCAAGTCTGTGCTGAATAAATGCAGGGATACGGCTTATACTAGAGAAAACAAAGTAAAGATACATATATGTTCCTTATGTTGGTAACATTAACAGCAGCTATCATTTCACTGTTTATACTATACTAAGCATGCAGATATTAAAATTAATCCTCTCCTAATGATCCTTTAAGGTAGGTGGTCCCAATTTACAGAAAAGGAAACTGAGGCCTATGTATTGGAACAATTTCCTCAAGAATACACAAAGCTGGAAAGTGGCAGAAATGAGGTTAAATACAGATCTGCTTGAAGCCAATATCTTAACCACTAGGCTCCTAAGCACAGTACTGTCAGCTGGGAATACAATAATGAATATGTCATGGTTCAGTCTTCCAGGAGTCCACATGGGAGTAAAGAGAGAGAGGAGAAAGAGTCGATATAATCCATAACAGTACGAAGAAATCCTATAAGTATATGCAGACTAGCAACTAACAGCCTGAGTATGAACAGTGAGGGTCAGTGTTAGCACTGGGCCTTAACAGGAGCAGTTTGGTTGGCATGAGGGCTGTGGATAGCTGCAGGGGGAGAGTGTCCATCCTGAAGGAGTGCCTTTTACCAGCTGATGGAATCCATTCTAAACATCAGTGGACTGAATCATTGAATAGAATCACCTATAAGGAAGATTTTAGTTTTAATGGTCACTTTTCAAAATAAGCCCGAGTTTCTCATTATTCTTAAGCTATCTTCAGGTTTTATTAAGCCAGCTTTTTAATACATTCAACAGATTGATTTTTTTAAAAAAATTAAGAGTATTAAACCAGAAGAGCTTCAATAAAGACCCTCAGGTTGATGGTAAGGTTTTAATTACTGGCTTTTGTTTTTAGTACTCTAGTTAATTGGGTATCTGATCATCGTATATTTCAAAGCAGTTTTCCCAGGTTCATTAGCAAGAAACTTCTATAATTCAAATCCAAATCTTCACTTCAAATATATTGCCCTTCTTTCTTCTTCCTTATCTACAGGGCTACAGTTTGTCACTGAGGAAATTAAACTGAGCAAAAACAAGTTATTTTTCACAAAGCCAACTTGTTAAGATTTAATACTTTGTAATACTGATAAGATTATATCTGCTAAACAAATTAATTTAGCAGTTTAGAAGTATCTAAGAAAACCTAAACATTGTATAACCCATAATAATCTGACTATTCAGCGTTTATTCTATAGAAATCCCCACTTAGGTGGGCATGATGAAGCATGTACAAGGATGTTCAGTGCAGTATATTTGTAAAAGCAAAAGCTGGAAGCAACATAGATCATCATCAATTGAGCAATAGCTAAATAGGTATCCTGTTTAGCCTACGAATTGACAATGAGGTCAATCTGTATGGACTAACACAGTAAGATCTCTACGACATATTAATGAAAAAAAATCAAATTGCTAAAAATGTATGATAAAACATCAACTGTGTAGAACATCACACACTCACACCAAATCACATATATATACACATATGCATACAAAGGAGAGATATATACATATATACATAAGTTTTTGTAGATATCTCTCTATATTATATTTATGTACATAGCTCTCTTTATCCATATATGCATGCATATAGAGTTGTCCCTTGGTATCCACGTGGGATTGGTTCCAGTTCCTCCCACAGATACCAAAATCTACAGATGCTCAAGTGCCTGATACAAAACAGTGTAGTATTTACATATAATCCGTGTACATTCTCCTACGTACTTGACATCATCTCTAGATTACACATAATACCTAATATAATGTAAACACATGTAAATAGTTGTTATACTCTATTGTTTAGGGAATAATGACAAGAAAAAAATGTCTGTACGTGTTTAGTACAGACACAAGGTTTTTTAAGAGTATTTTTGATCCATGGCTCTTTGATTTCACAGATGCGGAATCCACGGATACAGAGGGCTGACTTACATACCTATATACATATATATGTGTGTGTATATATACATATATGCACACACACATAAATATATATGTAAATGCATATCTAAATGCATAGAGATTAGGATTGAGGATAGCATTTATGGAAACTTTCTCTGTTCTCATTACTTTATTGCTGTAAAAATAATGAATTTCCATATTACTTATACAGATGGTCTCCAACTTACCATGGTTTAGTTTACAATTTTTTGACTTTAAAATGGTGTAAAAATGATACACATTCAGTAGAAACCATACTGTAAGTATCCACACAACCATCCTGTTTTTCACTTTTAGTACAGAATTAAATAAATTATATGAGATATTCCATACTTTAATATAAAGTAGGCTTTGTGTTAGACAATTTTGCCCAATTGTAGACTAATGTAATGTTCTAAGCATGTTTAAGGTAGACTAGGTTAAGCTATGGTATTTAGTAGGTTAGGTGGATTAAATGCATTTTCACCTTATCAGGATTTATCAGGTCGGAATCCCATTGTATAATAGCCTATAGTTTTTAGCGTCTTTTCCCGCTTTTAAAAGAAAGACCAACGTTGAGCATTTTGATGCAAATTAATTTCACGGGTCTCCAAGCATGGCTGAGAACTCAGTGGGAGCAGGACACACACTTTACAGAGTACCACAAAATGGGTGTTTAATAACTATTAAAAAAGGAATGAACCAACCAATGAATAAATGACAGTCTCAGTAAATATTATACTTAAAGTTTCTAAGCATTGGTTGAGGTTTGGAACCTGGCAATTTGTAGGGAGACATTAGAGGATATTCAAAGTAAAAACTAAAATCACTCTCTTTTACTCTGTATTGATTTGTTAATGGTGCTAAGGACTGAATCTCCAAAAGCAAATTAAGATTTACATATTAAGATTTTTTTCTCTAGCCCAGGACATTAATTTGTTAATTTTTCTCTTATAGTTTTTGAACGTAGATAATACATAATTAACATAATGTGGCATTTTAGGGACAGCTTCCTAAGCTTTCATTAGCCATTAAACATAAATACAAATTTTAAAATATAACCAACATTTCATTTTAATTCTTTTAATTATTAAACACCTTATTTTAGTATTTTGCTAAAAGTCACAAATTCCATTTCAATTTGGTATCTACCTAATTTTAATGCAATCCAAAAACTCTACAACATTTCTTAATAAAAGTTAATTAACAGGGGAGTATAGATTAAACAACATCCCCAGAATACATATGATAAAGGCTTAATATCCAAAATATATAAAGGAACTCAATAGCAAGAAAACAAACCAATTAAAAAATAGGCAGAGGATCTGAACAGACATTTCTAAAAAGAATATATACAAATGGCCAACAGGTGTACAAAAAAATGCTCAATATCACCAATCAGCAGAAAAATGCAAATTAATACCACAATGAGATTTCACTGCATACCTGTTAGAATGGCTATTATGAAAAAGACAAAAGATTGCTGGGTGTGGTGGCTCACATCTGTGATCCCAGCATTTTGGGGGTTTGAGGCGGGTGGATCACTTGAGGTCAGGGGGTCAAGACCAGCCTGGCCAACATGGTGAAATCCCGTCTCTATTAAAAATACTAAAAATTAGCCGGGTGTGGTGGTGCACGCCTGTAATCCCAGCTACTCAGGAGGCTGGGGCAAGAGAATTGCATGAACTCAGGAGGTGGAGGTTGCAGTGAGCTGAGATGGTGCCACTGCACTCCAGTCTGGGCAACAGAGCAAGAGACTCCGTCTCAAAAGAAAAAAAAAAAAAGGCCAGGCACAGTGGCTCATGCCTGTAACCCCAGCACTCTGGGAGGCCGAGGCAGGCGGATCACCTGAGGTTGGGATTTCAAGATCAGCCTGGCCAACATGGTGAAACCTCGTCTCTACTAAAAATACAAAAATTATCCAAGGGTGGTGGCACGTGCCTGCAATCGCAGCTACTTGGGAGGCTGAGGCAGGAGAATCACTTGAACCCGGGAGGCGGAAGTTGCGGTGAGCCGAGATCGTGCCACTGCACTCCAGCCTGGGCAACAGAGTGAGACACTATCTCAAAAAAAAAAAAAGAAAAAGAGAAAAAGACAAAAGATAAATATTGACAAGGATGTGAAGAAAAGGGAACACTTGTGCACTATTGGCAGGAATGCAAATTAGTGCAGCCATTATGAAAACCAGTATGGAAATTCCTCAAAAAATTAAAAATAGAACTGCCATATGATCCAGCAATCCCAATACTGGGTATATATTCAAAGGGAATAAAATCAGTGTATGACAGAGATATCTACACTCTCATGTTCTTTGCAACATTTTTCAAAATACCCAAGACATGAAATCAAGCTAAGTGTCCTTCAACAGGTAAATGGATAAAGAAAATGTGGCACATATACACAATGGAATACTATTCAGCTTTAAAAATGAAGGACACTTGTGTTATTTGCAACAACATAGATGAAGCTGGGGAATATTGTATTAAGTGAAATAAGTCAGACACAGAAAGACAAATACCACATGATCTCACTTGTATGTGGAATCTTAAAAAGTTGAACTCATGGATTAGGGAGATGTTGGTCAAAGGATATAAAATTTCAGTTAGATAAAAGTAATAAGTTTAAGGGATCTATTATACAACATGGTGGCTACAGTTAATAACAATGTATTGTGTTTTGAAAATTGCTAAGATAGATTTTAAGTGTTCTCACCACAAAAACTGATGCGTATGTGAGGTAATGCATATGTTAATTAGCTCAATTTAGCCATTCCACAACTTATACATATTTCAAAACATCATGTTGTACATGATAAACATATAAAATGATTGTCAGAGATAAACAAAACAACATCCTCTAAAATTTTATCTATGAAAAGTTTGTCAGCATAACATAATGTAAATGTAAGCATGTAGAAGAATTAAGAGTAGAGTTCATTGAAAATGTGGATGCTATAACTTTATTCCAAGCCTACTGAATTGGAATCTCCTGCACTGGGACTGAGGAAATTGTATTTTAACACACTCCATTGGTGAATCTTTTGCACACCAAACTTTAGGACTGCTGAGACAGAATGCTGCACTCTTCTTTGAACTTGTACACCTTTGCTAGTCAAAGTGTGGTTCTAGGACAAGCAACATCCACATATCATAGGAGCTTGTTAGAAATGCAGTCTCAGATAACACTCAACACTGACTGAATCAGAATATGTATTTTAACAAGAGCCTTCATTGATTCATAGGCACATTAAAGTTTGAAAAGCAGTATGATAATACAATATACTACCTTTTTGTTATGATTTAAATTTAAAAATTATAGGGATGAGTGTATTTTTTAAGTACAAAAGGGATAAAATGTAAAGGAAAAGTGGTTTTTTTTTTTTTTTTTTTTTTTTTTTTTTTTTTTTTTTTTTTTTTTTTTTTTTTTTTGAGACAGAGTCTCGCTTTGTTGCCCAGGCTGGAGCACATTGGTGCTATCTTGGCTCACTGCAGCCTCTGCCTCCCAGGTTCAGGCAATTCTCCTGCCTTAGCGTCCTGAGTAGCTGGGATTATAGGTGCCCGCCATCATGCCTGGCTAGTTTTTGTATTTTTAGGAGAGACAGGGTTTCACCATGTTGGCCAGGCTGGTCTCAAACTCCTGACCTCAAGGGATCCATCCGCCTCGGCCTCCCAAAGTGCTGGGATTACAGGCGTGAGCCACTGCACCTGGCCAAAAAAGTTTTTTCTCCACCACCTATCCCAGTTTCACTCTTCAGAAACCATAAATAGGAAGTTTCTTCTTATTTATTTTTCTTTAATTTCCTTGAAAAAGGTATTGCTACTCTGTGTTCTAACATCTGGTATGGGGATGAGAAATTTGATTCACATTTCAAACATTTCTGTGATAATTAATTTCAGATGTCTACTTGACTGGATTTAACAATAGCAGGAGAACTGGTGAAGCATTGTTTCTAGGTTTGTCTGTGAAGGTGGTTCTAGAGGAGACTGGTAAGTGGGTCAGTGGCGTGAGTGGGGAAGACCACTCTTGATGTGGGTAGAACCCTGCAGCTGGCTCGGGGCTCAGGTAGAACAAAAAAGGCAGAAAAGAGGCCATTTCTTCTCTCTCCTAGAGCTGGAACACTGGAACACTCTTCTTCCCTTTTCGTGGACATCAGAACTCCAGGCTGTCTGACCTTTGAACTGTAAGACTTAAACAAGCTGCCCCTTAGGTTCTCAGGCTTTTGGCCTTAGGCTGAGAGTTCCACCATCAGCTTCCTTGGTTCTAAGGCCTTTGGACTTAAACTGAGCCACACTACTGGCTCCCTGGTTCTCCAGTTTGCAAATGGTCTGTCATGGGACTTCCCAGCCTCCATAATCATGTGAACCAACTTCCCTAACAAATCTTATCTATTGATTGATTTATTGATCTGTCTCCTATTGGTTGTCTCTTTGGAGAACCCTGACTAGTACAATTTCTTTGTAAGTAAACAATTTTCTTTTTACTGTAAGCTTTTCAGATTTTCTCTTATTCTTGGAGTGATGAAATTTCCCCTAGAAAGTATCAAAATTAATTTCTCCTAAGTTTTGTCTTTTTCATTTACCTTGCTTGGCACTTACTGAATTCTTTAAAAATCAAGAATCAATCTTTCTCTTTTTTCTTTTTTTCTTTTTTTGAGATGGAGTCTTGCTCTGTTGCCCAGGCTGGAGTGCAGTGGTGTAATCTCAGCTCACTGCAACCACCGCCTCCTGGGCTCAAGAGATTCTCCTGCCTCAGCCTCCTGAGTAGCTGGGACTACAGGTGAGTGCCGCCAGACCCAACTAATTTTTTGTATTTTTGGTACAGACGGGGTTTCACCGTGTTGGCCAGGCTGGTCTTGAACTCCTGACCTCAGGTGATCCACCCACCTCAGGCTCCCAAAGTGCTGGGATTACAGGCATGAGCCACCACTCCCAGCTAAGAATTAATCTTTCTTAAGCCTGTAAAAATTTTCTTCTACTCTTTCTTTGATTATTTCCTCTGCTTCACCACTTCTATTCTCTGCTTTAGAATCTTGGACTAACATTCACCTGACTGAACAATAATTCTGATTGGATGGCTTCCATTTTGATCAGTCTGTGCCTATGTCATACACGTAGGTAAATATTTTGAACGTTACTTCCAACTGGATTTATGCTTTGGGTCCTTAAACACTTTTGCTCTCATGTTTTCCATTCCTGTGCTATGTTTCTATAATGGATTGAATTGTTGACCCCAAAAGACAAGTCTATCCAGAACCTCTGAGTGACCTTATCTGGAATAGGGCCTTTGAAGGTATAATTAAGGTAAAGATCTTGAGATGAGACCCTTGTGAATTAGGTATGAGTGTCTCTATGCTGGGCAAAGGGAAGCTGACATGGTTACTCAGACTGCCATCTTGAACTAGAAGTCCGTATCTACTGTTTCATGTTGTATTATTTTAACTTCTCTAATAAATTATAAATTCCTGAAGAATAGGGATTTCTTTCTTCACTTATGTCTCCTATAGAAATTAGCATAAATGCACATTTAAAAATTAATCAAATGAATGAATTCATAAGTTAGTAAG
Organism: Homo sapiens; assembly: GCF_000001405.40. Lineage (NCBI taxonomy): Eukaryota > Metazoa > Chordata > Mammalia > Primates > Hominidae > Homo > Homo sapiens. The sequence continues at coordinate 95,203,658 of NC_000005.10, forward strand.
TACATGAGTGAGTGAAAGAAAGCCAGTAAAACAAAGTTAAAAGCTAAACTGCCAAAGTGAAGGAAAAATCTAATACTTTTGCTGTTTGAAAAGCGGCAGAAGTGAATTGTAACTTAACACATATGTGAGTAAAAAGCATTAATCTTCAGCTTTCAATTAACATGCCTCTTAATGCAAAATTTCATTTCACTGGATCAGATAACTCACATTCTCTTCCTAATTGCCAGGATATTCAATATTTATCATTTTAGATCTAGTCATCTTCAAGAAACATTTTTATTAGATTTTTGTAAATGTGTAGATTACTAACTATGCAAAGAGATGTGGATCCATTTGTACTTGGCAAATGCATTTCTGCTTGTTAAATTCACTGAGTTTTTGTGCTTGAAAATCAATACTAGAACAAGTTGAATGGAATAATCTGTGGGGGGCTCTATAATCTTAGTATCTTAATTTCAAAATTGGACATTTTCCAAATTGAGAAAGCCTTTTAAAAAGCGACTCAAAGTCAATTTATTCCATTCCTATACAACTTATAACCCTACAAGTCAGTAGTGGAAAAGAGGAGAGGATCAGCTTTATTAAGTGGAGACATTTAAGCTGGTCTTAGAGAATAAGAGGGAATCCACCAGGTAGAAGAAAGGACAAAGGGCATTCTAGGCAGAGGAAGCAAAGAAGCATCCAACAAATTAAGATTAAAAGGGAGCATCCTCAACATGGTAAAGGGCATCCAAAAAAACTCATAGCTACCCAGCATCATACTTAATGGTGAAGGATGAATACTTCCCCCTGACCCTAAGATCAGGAACAAGCAAGGATGTTTGCTCTCTTCACATCTATTCAACACTGCACTAGAGATTCTTGCCAGGACAATTACCAAGAGAATAATATGAAAGTCATCCAGATTGGAAAGGAAGAAATAAAGTTATCTCTACTTGCAAATGACATGGTCTTGAATATAGAAAACCCTAAGGAATCCACTACAAAACTACTAAAACTAATAAACAAGTTCTACAAGATTGCAGGACAAGATTAATATATAAATTAATTTCTATTTGTAACCAATAAGGAAATTTAAAACAAACGAAAAAAATAATTCATTTACAATAGCTTGAAAAACAATAAAATACTCGTAAATAAATTTTTAAAAATAAGCAAAATTTATACTCTGAAAACTATATAACATTTTGAAAGAAATTATGAAGATAAATAGAAAGACATCCCATATTCATGGATCAGAGGATTTAATATCATTAAGATGGCAATGCTCCCCAGATTTAACACTCTATCAGAATCCCAGTTAGCTTCTTTGTAAAAATGCACAAGCTATTCCTAAAATTCATATGGAAATTCAAAGGAACCAGAATAGCCAAAACAATTTTGAGAAAGAACAAAATTGAAGTACTCACACTTCATAATTTATTAATAAAAACTTGCTACAATGCTAAGTAAACAAGATAATGTAGTATTGTCATGAGAACAGAAATACAGATAAATGGAATAGAACTGAGAGTCCATGAGTAAAGCCTAACACTTATGGTCAATTAATTTTTGACAAAGGTGCCAAGAAAATAAAATGGGGAAAAAATAGTCTTTCAACATATGGTTGGGACAACTGGGAAAATTGTATATCTTCATAGAAAAAATTAAAGTTGGACTCCTACCACATATTATATAAAAAATTAACTCAAAATACATCAAAGAACTAAAGGTAAAAGCTAAAGCTATAAAACTCTTAGAAGAAAACACAGGTATGATTCTCCAGGAACTTGAATTAGACAATGGTGTCTGACACAAAAAGCACAGCAAGAAAAGAAAAAATAACGGTACTTCATCAAAATTAATGTGAAATAATTTGCGTTTCAAAGGATACCAACAAGAAAGTGAACAGGCACCCCACAGAACAGGAAAAGCTATTTGCAAATCATGTTTGATAAGGGACTTGTATCTAGAATATATAAAGAACTTTTACACACAATACACACAATATTTACACACAATATTTAGCACAATAATAAAAGCTAAATAATGTAAAAACTAATGAGCCAATTTAAAAATGGGCAAAGGATATGAACAGACATTTCTCCAAAGAAGATAAACACATGGCCAATAAGCACATGAAAAGAAGATCAACATCATTATCCATTAGGGAAATGCAAATCAAGACCACAATGAAATAATATTTCACACTCACTAACATAACTACAATCAAGAAAATGGAAAATAACAAGTGTTGACAAGGATGTGGAAAAACTAGGATATTCATACACTGCTGGTGGGAATATAAAATAGTATATCCACTTTGGAAAATAGTCTGGAAGTTCCTTGAAAAGCTAAACATAGAGCTTCCATATGATCTAGCAATTCCACTCCTGGTTATATGCCCAAGAGAAATAAAAACACATGTACAAATGAACACAATTGTTCATAGTAACACTATAATTCATAAAAGTGGCAACAATTCAAATGCTCATAAATCAATGAGTGAATAAATAAAACATGGTATATTCATATAAGGAATATTATTTGGCAATAAAAATTAATGAAGTACTAATACATGTTATAACATAGATGAACCCTGAAAACATCATGCTAAGTCAGACACATAAGATTACATACTGTAATTCCATTTATATTAAATGCTCAGAAAAACAATAGTGACAGAACACAGATTAGTGGTTGCCTAGGGTTCAGGGGACTGGAGGTAATAGAGACTGAATGGTAATGGGTACAGGGTTTCTTTTGGGGGTTATGAGTGAATTGTATAGTATGTGAATTATATCTCAATGAAGCTGTTATAAGAAAAAAAATTAAGAATCTCTGGAGACTGAGAATCATGACATTTTAGAGACAGGACATTTCTATCTCTCATTTTATAGATTTTGTTTGTTTTTTTGAGACGGAGTCTCACTCTGTCACCAGGCTGGAGTGCAGTGGCATGATCTCGGCTCACTACAACTTCCGCCTCTCGGATTCAAGCAATTTTCCTGCCTCAGCCTCCTGAGTAGCTGGGACTTCAGGCGTGTGCCACCACCACACCCAGCCAATTTTTGTATTTTTAGTAGAGACAGGGTTTCACCATGTTGGCCAGGATGGTCTCCATCTCTTGAACTCGTGATCCACCCCCCTCGGCCTCCCAAAGTGCTGGGATTAAAGGCGTGAGCCACCATGCCTGTCCATTTTATAGATATTTTTTAAAGGCACTTGGTTTTGCATTAGGTCACAAAATTTGAAGACTACACTTATAATTTAACATTTATTAAATGTTGATATATATGATTTCAGGAAATTTGTTCATTATAGAAGTCAAATTATATATTTATACCCACTGACATACATATGTCTTTTTATATCCATCCAATAGATCAATGATTTTCAGGGATTTTGTTATTGTTGTTGTTTTTACTAATCCTAACACACTTAAGGGTGTGTCAGGAAAAAATGTTTTGTGAACATGACCAGAATTAAATCATAAATATTGACTATCCTGGCAAGAAAGAAGAGACTATGAGTTATCTAGTCCAGTGAAATGAAGATGACATGTTAATAGAAGAATCTGGCAAGTTCCCATCAAGATATGATCTTAAATATAGAACATCTTTCAATAGAGCAGCAGGGGTGGTGAATAGGGGGCTTATCTCTGGGACAGAGGAGGGACATGAGTGTTTGATAACCTGCAAGTTGAAATATATATATTTTGGAAAAATTTTCTCCCCTCAAATCCTGAAGAACACATATAGGGAGCTGTGTTTACCCCAATCTAGTGAAAATCACTATGCAAACAATATTCAACAGTTTCTGCATACTCTTCAAAATGCTTTTTAAATATCTCTGCTAAATCTGATTAAATTGATCAGAGTTTGGACAAAATGAAGTGGGTCAGAGGAGAGTAAATCTGAATTACACTGATGACCAGAATATGAATAATGAGTGTTATCAGAGTGAGACACATTAATCCAGAGAGGTAAGTGCAAGTTCTCATAAAATTGTCTTGGTAAACACACATAAATACAAAGGCTACAGACTAGCATATCCCCACATCCCAAGAGTTCCTAGCACATAGTAGGTTCTCAATAAATATTTACTGAATACAAGAATAAAAATGTGATTGAGAAAGAGAGAGAAGCTGAAGGAGAAAACAGGAATGAAAGTTTAAAAGATGAAGGAGAGAAATTAACAACGAGGAGACCTAGGGAGAAAGAAGGGACAGAAAGCACAACTGCAGCAGTCACTTTGTAACAAATCCAAAATGAAAAAAAGAATGAGCGGGCGAGAGAGAGAGAGAGAGAGGGAGAGAGAGGGAGAGAGAGGGAGAGAGAGGGAGAGAGAGAGAAAGAGAGGGAGAGAGAGGGAGAGAGAGGGAGAGAGAGAGAAAGAGAGAGCAAGAGAGAGAGTCACTCAGCAAGCAATAACAAGAAACAGATTACCCTGTTGTTGTTGTTGTTGTTTGAGAGGAAGTTTTGCTCCTGTTGCCCAGGCTGGAGTGCAATGGCATGATCTCGGCTCACTGCAACCTCCACCTCCGGGGTTCAAGCAATTCTCCTGCCTCAGCCTCCCTAGTAGCTGGGATTACAGGTGCCTGCAACCATGTCCAGCTAATTTTTTCTATTTTTAGTAGAGGCAGGGTTTCACTATGTTGGCAAGGCTGGTCTTGAACTCCTGATCTCAGGCAATCCACCCACCTCAGCCACCCAAAGAGCTGGGATTACAGGCGTGAGCCACCACACCCAGCCAACTGCCATTTTTTAATTCTGTATTTACCACTTCATCAAAAGTCAATACAGATATTGTAACAGCAACACTGTACAGAAGTATTTTATAGTTTATGAAATATTTTCCCATGTTTTAGCTCATTCCTGACAATCTAAGAGGTAAATATATTATTTTTATTTAGCAGATGAAGAAACTTTGGTTTTGAGGGTTTAAATAACATGAGCAGGAACATACAAGCAGAGGAGCTGGAACTTCAACCAGCCCTCAACCCATGCCTCTATAATGGGTGTTAGGAATCAAGAACCACAGTGTAGGACAAAAAAGAGATACCAAACCTGTTCATCTTCAACCCTTTCAGAAAAAAAAAAAAAAAGTTCTAGAACATATGTATTATCCTTAGTTTTGATGCTATTTCAATGGACTATTCTTGCTTATCTAGAAATCACCTTCTTGAAAGTCACCAATGATCCATTAATCAGCAAAGCCAAAGAACTCTCAATTTTCAATCCACTTTTCTAATCTATACCATCCAACACTATTTACCATTCCTTCCTTCTTTAATCTGTTTCTTCTCATGACCCTGTTCTGTCATCTCTTTGCCTTTCTTCTCCTGCAATTGCTCCACATATCTGTTTCCTTCAAATGTATGAAGACACAACATAAACAGACCTTTATCACTCTTACTTCCACCACAATTCTTGAGCTTGATTTCCCCACAAGAACATCCCACTAATCCCATATAGCATGACCAAAAGGGAATTGTATCATCCCCAATTGTCTTCCAACATTCTTGACTTTGGCTAATAGCATCACTATTCTTCCAGTAACTAAGTCAAAACATTGAGGGGAGAAAGTTTTGCCGCCTCCTCTTGTCCTCTTTTCCTCTTCCCTGGCCAATCAGCCATGAAACACCAGTTACATTACTCAGAAATTCTTTCTTATCAATAGTCTCAACTTAGTCCATGGTCTCTGAACTATTTGTGTTTTCCTAAGAAATATTTCCCTTTGCCTGGCCCCTCTCTTTTCCTCCCTCTCTCCTTCTGTCACACCTACAGTTTTTCTACTGTTAGCAGAGTTATTGCTCTTAAAGATTATTCCTATACTCAAAAACTTTCAGAGAATCCCTATAATCCACAGAATTAAGTCAAGATTCCATAGCACAACTTTCAATGCCATCCATGATCCAGTCTCAATTTACTCTTTTAGTAAAGAGTAATTTCCCCTAAAAGTCTATTTGCCATAAAACTGGATTATTCTATGCTTCTGAATATATCTGGGGTTCACCAGTGGCTAAACTTTAACTCATGTTAGGCCACTTCATCACATACCTGTCCCTGGAATGTTCCCACACCGGTCCCAATTATCTTTCAAGGTTTTGTCTGAACATTAAGAAGCTCTTTTGATTTTGGATCTTTCCTGCTTTCTCTTGTGGGCATTTAGTGCTATAAATTTCCCTCTACACACTGCTATGAATGTGTCCCAGAGATTCTGGTATGTTGTGTCTTTGTTCTTGTTGGTTTCAAAGAACAACTTTATTTCTGCCTTCATTTCGTTATGTACCCAGCAGTCATTGAGGATCAGGTTGTTCAGTTTCCATGTAGTTGAGCGGTTTTGAGTGAGTTTCTTAATCCTGAGTTCTAGTTTGATTGCACTGTGGTCTGAGAGATAGTTTGTTATAATTTCTGTTCTTTTACATTTGCTGAGGAGGAGAGCTTTACTTCCAAGTATGTGGTCAATTTTGGAATAGGTGTGGTGTGGTGCTGAAAAAAATGTATATTCTGTTGATTTGGGGTGGAGAGTTCTGTAGATGTCTATTAGGTCCACTTGGTGCAGAGCTGAGTAAAATTCCTGGGTATCCTTTTAACTTTCTGTCTTGTTCATCTGTCTAATGTTGACAGTGGGGTGTTAAGGTCTCCCATTATTATTGTGTGGGAGTCTAAGTCTCTTTGTAGGTCACTGAGGACTTGCTTTATGAATCTGGGTGCTCCTGTATTGGGTGCATATATATTTAGGATAGTTAGCTCTTCTTGTTGAATTGATCCCTTTACCATTATGTAGTGGCCTTCTTTGTCTCTTTTGATCTTTGTTGGTTTAAAGTCTGTTTTATCAGAGACTAGGATTGCAACCCCTGCCTTTTTTTGTTTTCCATTTGCTTGGTAGATCTTCCTCCATCCTTTTATTTTGAGCCTATGTGTGTCTCTGCATGTGAGATGGGTTTCCTGAATACAGCACACTGATGGGTCTTGACTCTTTATCCAATTTGCCAGTCTGTGTCTTTTAATTGGAGCATTTAGTCCATTTACATTTAAAGTTAATATTGCTATGTGTGAATTTGATCCTGTCATTATGATGTTAGCTGGTTATTTTGCTCGTTAGTTCACGCAGTTTCTTCCTAGTCTCGATGGTCTCTACATTTTGGCATGATTTTGCAGCGGCTGGTACCGGTTGTTCCTTTCCATGTTTAGTGCTTCCTTCAGGAGCTCTTTTAGGGCAGGCCTAGTGGTGACAAAATCTCTCAGCATTTGCTTGTGTGTAAAGGATTTTATTTCTCCTTCACTTATGAAGCTTAGTTTGGCTGGATATGAAATTCTGGGTTGAAAATTCTTTTCTTTAAGAATGTTGAATATTGGCCCCCACTCTCTTCTGGCTTGTAGAGTTTCTGCCGAGAGATCCACTGTTAGTCTGATGGGCTTCCCTTTGTGGGTAACCCGACCTTTCTCTCTGGCTGCCCTTAACATTTTTTCCTTCATTTCAACTTTGGTGAATCTGACAATTATGTGTCTTGGAGTTGCTCTTCTCGAGGAGTATCTTTGTGGCACTCTCTGTATTTCCTGAATCTGAATGTTGGCCTGCCTTGCTAGATTGGGGAAGTTCTCCTGGATAATATCCTGCAGAGTGTTTTCCAACTTGGTTCCATTCTCCCTGTCACTTTCAGGTACACCAATCAGACGTAGATTTGGTCTTTTCACATAGTCCCATAATTCTTGGAGGCTTTGTTCGTTTCTTTTTACTCTTTTTTCTCTAAACTTCCCTTCTCGCTTCATTTAATTCATTTCATCTTCCATCACTGATACCCTTTCTTCCAGTTGATCACATCGGCTCCTGAGGCTTCTGCATTCTTCACATAGTTCTCGAGCCTTGGCTTTCAGCTCCATCAGCTCCTTTAAGCACTTCTCTGTATTGGTTATTCTAGTTATACATTCGTCTAAATTCTTTTCAAAGTTTTCAACCTCTTTGCCTTTGGTTTGAATTTCCTCCTGTAGCTCAGAGTAGTTTGATCATCTGAAGCCTTCTTCACTCAACTTGTCAAAGTCATTCTCCGTCCAGCTTTGTCCCATTGCTGGTGAGGAACTGCGTTCCTTTGGAGGAGGAGAGGTGCTCTGCTTTTTAGAGTTTCCAGTTTTTTCTGCTCTGTTTTTCCCCATCTTTGTGGTTTTATCTACTTTTGGTCTTTGATGATGGTGATGTACAGATGGATTTTTGGTGTGGATGTCCTTTCTGTTTGTTAGTTTTCCTTCTGACAGACAGGACCCTCAGCTGCAGGTCTGTTGGAGTTTGCTAGAGGTTAATATCACAATTAAAAGAACTAGAAAAGCAAGAGCAAACACATTCAAAAGCTAGCAGAAGGCAAGAAATAACCAAAATCAGAGGAGAACTGAAGGAGATAGAGACACAAAAAACCCTTCAAAAAATTAATGAATCCAGGAGTTGGTTTTTTGAAAGGATCAACAAAATTGACAGACTGCTAGCAAGACTAATAAAGAATAAAAGAGAGAAAAATCAAATAGACGCAATAAAAGATGATAAAGGGGACATCACCACCAATCCCACAGAAACACAAACTACCATCAGCGAATACTACAAACACCTGTATGCAAATAAACTAGAAAATCTAGAATGGATAAATTCCTCCACACATACCCTCTCCCAAGACTAAACCAGGAGGAAATTGAATCTCTGAATAGACCAATAACAGGATCTGAAATTGTGGCAATAATCAACAGCTTACCAACCAAAAAGAGTCCAGGACCAGATGGATTCACAGCCGAATTCTACCAGAGGTACAAGGAGGAACTGGTACCATTCCTTCTGAAACTATTCCAATCAATAGAAAAAGAGGGAATCCTCCCTAACTCATTTTATGAGGCCAGCATCATACTGATACCAAAGCCGCGCACAGACACAACCAAAAAAGAGAATTTTAGACCAATATCCTTGATGAACATTGATGCAAAAATCCTCAATAAAATACTGGCAAACCGAATCCAGCAGCACATCAAAAAGCTTATCCACCATGATCAAGTGGGCTTCATCCCTGGGATGCAAGGCTGGTTCAATATACACAAATCAATAAATGTAATCCAGCATATAAACAGAACCAAAGACAAAAACCACATGATTATCTCAATAGATGCAGAAAAGGCCTTTGAAAAAATTCAACAACCCTTCATGTTAAAAACTCTCAATAAATTAGGTATTCACGGGACGTATCTCAAAATAATAAGAGCTATCTATGACAAACCCACAGCCAATATCATACTGAATGGGCAAAAACTGGAAGCATTCCCTTTGAAAACCGGCACAAGACAGGGATGCCCTCTCTCACCACTCCTATTCAACATAGTGTTGGAAATTCTGGTCAGGTCAATTAGGCAGGAGAAGGAAATAAAGGGTATTCAGTTAGGAAAAGAGGAAGTCAAATTGTCCCTGTTTGCAGATGACATGATTGTATATCTAGAAAACCCCATCGTCTCAGCCCAAAATCTCCTTAAGCTGATAAGCAACTTCAGCAAAGTCTCAGGATACAAAATCAGTGCACAAAATCACAAGCATTGTTATACACCAGTAACAGACAAACAGAGAGCCAAATCATGAGTGAACTCCCATTCACAATTGCTTCAAAGAGAATAAAATACCTAGGAATCCAACTTACAAAGGACGTGAAAGACCTCTTCAAGGAGAACTACAAACCACTGCTCAATGAAATAGAAGAGGATACAAACAAATGGAAGAACATTCCATGCTCATGGGTAGGAAGAATCAATATCGTGAAAATGGCCATACTGCCCAAGGTAAGTTGTAGATTCAATGCCATCCCCATCAAGCTACCAATGACTTTCTTCACAGAATTGGAAAAAACTACTTGAAAGTTCATATGGAAACAAAAAAGAGCCTGCATCGCCAAGTCAATCCTAAGCCAAAAGAACAAAGCTGGAGGCATCACACTACCTGACTTCAAACTATACTACAAGGCTACAGTAACCAAAACAGCATGGTACTGGTACCAAAACAGAGATATAGATCAATGGAACAGAACAGAGCCCTCAGAAATAATGCCACATATCTACAACTATCTGATCTTTGACAAACCTGAGAAAAACAAGCAATGGGGAAAGGATTCCCTATTTAATAAATGGTGCTGGGAAAATGGGCTAGCCATATGTAGAAAGCTGAAACTGGATCCCTTCCTTACACCTTATACAAAAATTACTTCAAGGTGGATTAAAGACTTAAACGTTAGACCTAAAATCATAAAAACCCTAGAAGAAAACCTAGGCATTACCATTCAGGACATAGGCATGGGCAAGGACTTCATGTCTAAAACACCAAAAGCAATGGCAACAAAAGCCAAAATTGACAAATGGGATCTAATTAAACTAAAGAGCTTCTGCACAGCAAAAGAAACCACCATCAGAGTGAACAGGCAACCTACAGAATGGGAGAAAATTTTGGCAACCTACTCATTTGACAAAGGGCTAATATCCAGAATCTACAAAGAACTCAAACAAATTTACAAGAAAAAAACAAACAACCCCATCTACAAGTAGGTGAAGGATATGAACAGACACTTCTCAAAAGAAGACATTTATGCAGCCAAAAGACACATGAAAAAATGCTCATCATCTCTGGCCATCAGAGAAATGCAAATCAAAACCACAATGAGATACCATCTCACACCAGTTAGAATGGCGATCATTAAGAAGTCAGGAAACAACAGGTGCTGGAGAGGATGTGGAGAAATAGGAACACTTTTACACTGTTGGTGGGACTGTAAACTAGTTCAACCATTGTGGAAGTCAGGGTGGCGATTCCTCAGGGATCTAGAACTAGAAATACCATTTGACCTAGCCATCCCATTACTGGGTATATACCCAAAGGATTATAAATCATGCTGCTATAAAGACACATGCACATATATGTTTATTGCGGCACTATTCACAATAGCAAAGACTTGGAACCACTCCAAATGTCCAACAACAATAGACTGGATTAAGAAAATGTGGCACATATACACCATGGAATACTATGCAGCCATAGAAAATGATGAGTTCTTGTCCTTTGTAGGGACATGGATGAAGCTGGAAACCATCATTCTCAGCAAACTATGGCAAGGACAAAAAACCAAACACTGCATGTTCTCACTCGTAGGTGGGAACTGAACAATGAGAACACATGGACACAGGAAGGGGAGCATCACACACCGGGGACTGTTGTGGGGTGGGGGGAGGGGGGAGGGATAGCATTAGGAGATATACCTAATGTAAATGACGAGTTAATGGATGCAGCACACCAACATGGCACATGTATACATATGTAACAAACCTGCACGTTGTGCACACGTACCCTAAAACTTAAAGTATAAAAAAAAAAGATTGTCTCAAACATCTCAGATCAAGAAAGTCTTATCTCCTAATTGTCTCTTTGCCCATAACCATAATCACACTCATATGTATGTACCATGATCACGTCCATCTTGGAGCTTTTATCCTTTCTTCCCTTTTGCTTGGAATTCCTACCTTCCTCTCTTCTCCAAGCAATAGCTAAACCTCAAAACCCATTTTCAAGTCTCATCTCCTCCCTGAGACCCTCCCTGATCAATTCAATTAACTGATTTCTTATTCCTTGTCTGTTAAAACATGATATAAATGGAAATACAGAAATATGAATAGATTTGAAAATTATTTAAGAGGTAGCAATAAAGATGGATTTTTGTGATAGACTGATTTCCTTCCCTTTCTGTCTTCTTTCATAAGAGAATGTCATTTTAGGGGCTGGGAGATCATCATGTTATCATGTAAAAAACAATAATCAGCTGTCTGGCAGAGAGGAGAGGCCATACAATACAATTCTGGCCAATGACATTTAATTGGATTGAGCAATTACTCAAAAACGGAGCAAACTCAGCTTTATTTTCCTCCTTTTTTTTCTTTGTTAGCCTTGTTGCTATTTTTTGCTTTTTTAGCCTTGTTATTTTTTTCTTTTTAGCCTTTCTGCTTTTTTTCTCTCCTTTTTTCTGCCTGAAATATGGATATAATGTTAGAGATGGAGCACCTATCTTGTAACCATAAGAAGGCCACAAAGAATAGGGTAAAAAAAATTTGAAGAACTAAACTCTGAAATCTTTGAGCCAGCAACCACCTACCTCTCAAACTCTAGTTAAGGGAGGTAAACAAAACTTATAAAATATCTAGTTTGTGGGAGGGAGTTCTAAACACAGACACTTTGACTAACATTAGCCTCTACACACTTTTAATACCTAAAGAATTCAAAACAAAAATATACAAACAAGAAAACCTTTATTCTATCTAAAGGGATAACATTTTGAAACAATTCAATATTTGCTTAATGTCTATGAACAGAAATTAAGATATTTCTTTATTTGAAAAACTAAAATTTACTTTCTTTGATGTTGAAATATTTGTTAAACATATTATAAATAAATTAACTCTTATCTTTGGCATTTGTTATATCCATTCTTCATGGTACTCTAAGAGGGACTATAATAAATAGCATTTCGTTTTCCAGTGAATAAAAATATACACTAAATCTTACCTAAAAACAGTCTTGACTTTGGAAATGCCTTTGTGTCATGTTATTTACAGATAACTCAGTAAGCAAGCTTGTGCTGGCAGAATTGGAGACACTGTTATGTTGCCAGGAATTCTTGCTATGATACATCCATAGGAAGCTTGGGCTTTGGTCCAAGAAACTACAGCTGGAAAAGTCATCCCCTACCTTTCCAGAGAATTACTAAGAAACTACTCTATCCTGTAGGTTGTCCATTTTCCACAGCTACCCGTAGCAAGAATATTCTCTTGGCATTTATTCCTCTACACTGTGTTCTATCAGCATTTTTCCAAGCTCCCAAGCCTGAAAGGTACCTGCTGGGATGGCTCTACACAAATTGTATGAGTTTCTCCTTAGGCATTCAGAGGAAATCCCACCAGATGTCAAAGGTGTCCGATATCACAGCACTCTAAGAAGTAGCTATGGCAAGAGACATAAGGTCACACAAACTGAGAAGTGAAATGGCAAAATTATAAATTCTTGTTATAAACACACTGTCATACGAAGTGAGAAATTGCAGTTGCATTAAGCTGATGGATAATCTGGCAACAAGCAAACAGATACTTATTTTCTCTTCAATCTAAACTGTGCAACTGTCCCTTCCTGACTTACATGCCAATCTTTTCAAATACTTCATCTTTAAATTACTATTATTAGTAAAGTACAAGAGAGCAGCCAGTATCATTTCTCCTGAGGCTACCTCTGGAAGAAAACTGCTAAATAAAAAGAAGATTTAAATGTTTTTCACTTGGCATTTTTATTGACCATCCAAAGGGTATATCACTAGCAGATGCGTATATACAGCCCTAGTGGAATCCACAACTGAAAATGCACAGTAAAGATTTCAGAAAGCAACAAGACAGACTCACTTCTCAGTAAGATTACAGATGTATGATTACTGATACTCTTTGAAAACTTTAAAAAATACTTATTAATCATGCACATTCATATTTCCTAGTATTGTTTCCAAATATTCCTAGCATATACTGTAAATAGTTTTTCTTTCCTGGAATTTAACATTAACATTACCTTTTAAATTTGTTAACAAATTTGCTTTTATCAGAGCTTTCAAGAATTTTCTTCCCCTAGAGGATGTCAAAAATTATCATTTCTAAATTTAGAAGGGTAATGGGAGAGATACAACTCCTTATCGAAGCACTTATATAATTTGACAAAAGTTCAGTCAGAACAACAAATACAATTTGGAAGTTCCAAGTTCTAACTATAGATAACTATATTTCTTCGAATAAAGATGTAGTGGGAGGCTTTTAGTAAAGCCGGTCTTGGCCACACCTGCTTTCCTTCTGCAAAGGGAATGTGAGGTCATAATCTCTGTCATTAAACTCCCATGAAGTCAGACAACATTCGCTGTAATTAATTTCTGTGAGAACAATGGGGCATTAAATGAGGAGTTCACAGGCATTAACTCTGAAGAAGTTCTGAGGCTTGGTAATAACATTGGAGGAAAGATTTTATATGGAAACCTAAAAAAGCACTTACTAATATACCAAATAATATATTAATAAAATACATATATTTTGCATTAACCACCCCTCATTTAAGGGATTCTACCAGGCAATGTTAAGACAATTGAGGCAGCCTGATTTTGTACTTGAGGCCCCAGAGCACACTTTTGGATTAAAACCTAACTTGTCACTAAATAGTAGCACAAAAGAAAGAATAATCATGATCCTGGACCTCTTATTATTAGATATACCCCCCTGCCTCCCCAACTTCTCTGATCATGCAGGAATTTCAGGAAAGACATGAGAGATATGACGTATTGTCCAAATTTGCTAGAGGCTTGGAGATCTAGCCTGTGAACCAGAGACAGAGCCTTCCAGGCACATTCCAAGGCTTGGCCTTACACATAGGGACTGGTCTGATGTCAGAGGAGAACAAGAACTTCAAGGAATTTCTAGTCCTCCAAATGAGTTACACTATATTGGGACAGCAATGAGATAAGAGCTGGGATGAAAAGAATTTGACAGAGCAAGAGTAGATGCATGATACAATAGGTTACAAGGAAGAAAAGATCCGTGTTCAATGGTTAAGTCAATGGGGGCAGGAATTTGGTTTTTGTTGTTCAACACTACATACCCAGTTTCAGGCCCATAACAAGAGAAATGAATGAATGGGAGAGTGAGTGAGGCTATTTGATCCTTTCTCTTTGTTTCTTTAATCTAGTATTTCCCAATGTATGGAATGCTTCAACTAGTAATCTGGGACATCATTTTAGGTGGTAATGGTACATTAAACACTCTAAATCAGGTAGAGACAAAGTGTTTCCCCTTTTAATTTCCTAGTATCAAGGAGAAAAATTTCAGTTTGGTACTAGTAGGCCTTTAACATCTTTCTATTCTTGTTTAAACAGGAGACATGTTCTCAGGGACTGAGCTCCAGGTAACTTTATTTAGTTAAAACTATATACAGTCATTTGTCACTTAACAATAAGGATACATTCTGAGAAATGCATTGTGGGTGATTTTGTTGTTTTATGAACATCATGGAATGTACTTACACAAATTGAGATGGAATAGCCTACTATACGCCTAGGCTGGATGGTATAGCCTGTTGCTCTGAGGCTACCAACCTACACAGTAAGTTACCGTACTGAATACTATAGGCAAATTTAACACAATGGTAACCATTTGTGTATCTAAACATATCTAAACATAGAAAAGGTTCTGTAAAATATAGTATTATAATCTTCTGGAACCACTATTGTATATGCATTTCATCACTGACCAGAATGTCATTATGCAATGCATGACTGTACTTCATCTGGTTTTTCATCCTATTCATTTTTATAGTTACCATCTATTTTGGGAAAAAATGATTTTTCTAATTTGGGCTAGTAATGTAAAAATTTCCTTTTAAAGGCCAGGCGCAGTGGCTCACGCCTGTAATCCCAGCACTTTAGGAGGCCAAGGCGGGTGGATCATGCGGTCAGGAGATCGAGACCATCCTGGCTAATACGGTGAAACCCCGTCTCTACTAAAAAATACAAAAAATTAGCCGGGCATGGTGGTGGGCACCTGTAGTCCCAGCTACTCAGGAGGCTGAGGCAGGAGAATGGCGTGAACCTGGGAGGCGGAGCTTGCAGTGAGCCAAGATCGCGTCACTGCACTCCAGCCTGGGCGACAGAGTGAGACTCCATCTCAAAAAAAAAAAAAAAAAATCCTTTTAAAATAATTTATTTAAAACACAAAATTTAGTTGACTTAAAAGAAAAACATTAGGTAAATAATAAAGTCATGTGTATCTATGAGGCTAATCAGATGATGATACTCAAATGAATTAAATTTGGCAAGCTGCATTCTAATCGCCCTGGACTCCCTACGGTCTTTAGGTCTCCACTGCTACGACAACAATAAAGATCTAAAGCAGCTGTTCAGCTTTGGGTGGACC
The DNA here is from genome assembly GCF_000001405.40 of Homo sapiens. NCBI lineage: Eukaryota > Metazoa > Chordata > Mammalia > Primates > Hominidae > Homo > Homo sapiens. Next base: position 95,219,629 of record NC_000005.10, read on the forward strand.
ACACAGAGCCATCCCCAGGAGACACAGCAACCTGAGACAACAGTCAGTCAAACAAATGTAAACATAATCTTCAGTGTCCTGGTGAGCAACTTAAATGCAAATGCAAAAACTCCATTTCCCAAAATCTGCCATCAATTTTATATTCTTATAGAGAAAGATGCCTGTAACTGTCCCTTCATTTGACTCCCCACTATTAAGCTCATTTAGAAATAAATACTAAGCTACTAAGGTAATGAATTCATGGTAAGAAGAAAGAGAAATGATAAATTTAAAAGCCAAAAATCAATGAGAAGTTCTGTTAGGTCCTACAAATTCTTTTGGATGATCATAATTTTAATTCTGTTACAGGCAAATGGTAGCTCTCACACTAAATTCAGCAACAGCTTGCAATATGTAAATTAGGAGCCCAAAGTTCTTGAACTAACTTGCAAAGGTAGTATTAGTTGCTAATAGATGACATTTAATTTCTGACTTTCAGAACTCAAGATTAAAATAAGGGCTAAATTAGAGCTGAGGTTCCTTAAGCGGCTGCTAATAGCCTATGTCATTGAAGAGTTACTAAAAATACTGATTAAGTACATGAGAGATTTTTTTGTGTGTGTTTAACCAAGCACAACTTGATTTTCATAGTACAATATTTAAAAATAAAATAACAAAATAAAATCTGTACATTAAGTCATCAACCTGGATCCTCATTTTCTTCTTCCTTTTTTTTTTTTTTACAAAGAATTCCTTAGTCCGCTGGCCTCTACAAGCATGTACAAACACTGACGGAATCATAATCTAAAAGGAAGAGAGACACTATCAGAATTTTTTTCATTCTTAATAATTCATTTTACCTGAATCTTTTGTTTCTCCTTCTTCCTCTAATTTTGTTGGCTTTTAGCCAATTCACAATAATTAAGACTTTGATGTTGAGGCCAAGAGGGAACTGGCAAAAAGTAAAACTCATTCATCAATGTAACTCAGTAATTCTCACCTCTCATATTATGACATAGCCACCAGAAGCTACTGCAACAACTTCCTTAATAGCTCAGAACAACAAGAATACCTAATAACATACATGCTTCAAATCCAGAGTCATGGCAATATTTTTTTCTATTTTAAATAAGTCATGCTAATGTTGAAATGCTAACTGTGAAATTCTTTACCTCACATGGGTGCCATTGTTTAATACAGTAACTCCTACAAATATACTTTGAGCTTCCTGTAAAGTGACATGTAAATAAAGCATTATTGCCATAACATCTCCCTTAATGATTTAGAAAAGGCAGTAAATAGCAAGCTGATGGAATCACAGATGGTACTAAATTGAGACGTGTTGCAAACATCAGTAAAGGCAGAAAAAATTACGCAAAAAGGACCTAAAGTGCTTAAAATAAGACCAAAACATTTCTAACATTATGGGAAAAAGAAAATGACTTTTTTAAAGAGTGTCCGAAATATGCTGTCCAGCATAGATGCTACAACCAACAGGTAAAAAACATGCCAGCCAGAATTGTTTTCATTTCTTTGAAACAAACTAACATGCCAATGTGCTCTGAATAGGGATTGGTAGTCACATAAATATAATACTTACAATAAACAGTAAAGAAAAACCACTGTGATTTCATTAAAAAGTGCCAATGAAAAGTTCAGTTTGGTATGTCTGTAACTTCGAAAGAACACAGAGTTCCATTTAGGAAGAGTATTCCAAGTAAACCTGTTTCATCCTAAGCATTTTCATAAGCCTAAATTTGCCTCCCACTTGGGCAGAGCCATCTGTCTGGGCAGGTTTTGCACAGGGACCGAAACAGAAAGAAGGCATCTTATAGGGGCTTGTGCTTGGGGTTGCAGGTGGCTTTGAGTTTGTCCTCTACTTCCCATGGTGACAAATGGGGCACATGAGATATGTGGTTATAAATACAGTCTGTAATGGTAGTGACAGAATAAAGCAGACTGACATCACCACTACCATGCTTCTCTCTTTTATGCTCTAACCTGTACCTTTTGCAAAATTTAGCCTCATGTTTAATATCAAAACATTTTAATGTCAAAACGTATGTATTCTCTCTTGGCTCCCACTATACCTGTTGGTTGTTTCATCTGTTGAGGTGACAGACAATAGTTGCTGAATGTAAGGTCTTGATGAATCCAGCATGGGTTTTCTCTTTTTTCAGGAGCCAGGCTCATTCACCCGTTCTTACCCAACCAAATTCTCTAATCACTGAAGTCCAACACATGAAATCTTACTGGAAAACAGTCTTTCAATGCTGTTGTGGACCTGAGAACATACCGTCAAACTTTATTATCCTGAGGAATTTATTTACACAGAAAATTGTTTTACAAGTGATCAAAAAGAAAAACACTTTTATGTATCTGTCAGAGTAACCCTAGACCCTAAAAATGGGTCTAGATGGAGTAACTGAAAATAAACTGATTAAATACTATCATTTATTTCTCTTTCAAACAAATAAAAAGACTGGAGGTAATCAGCCCAGGTCTGGGATGGCACCCCATGAGGTCAGGCACCCAGGTTCCATCTACCTGGTTGCTTTGCCATCCTCAGCACGCAGCTTCCACCTAGCAGTCCCTGATGGCTGCCTGCCTTCTTCTCTCCACACTGCAGTCCATTGGCTAGAACCTAGTCACATGGCTATGCCTAGCTGCAAGCCAACTAGAAAACAAAGTCTTTATTCCAGGAATCCATGTGCCCAGGTAAAAATTAGGGATTCTGTTATATCTATACTGAATTAAAAAAGAGAGACTAGATACTGGAGGACAATTAGCAGTCTCTGCTTCAATTAAGAATCATATTTTAATAGTCAAAGCTTGCTAATTTTAAAGATTCTTTCAGCATTTATCCTTGGTTAACAAAATACACATTGATACCTAATTGTTTATTCAACACAGTTTACTTGAGTTTGATATCTGAACAAAATTTCCTAATTTTTCCTTCAACTTTTAAAGAATTCTGCTTCATGGTTTTACAGTTTGTTTCCTGTAAGGATGTCATTTCTGCTATCACAAAATGTAAAACATTTATGAAATTATAAAAAGTAAACTTTAAGACTTTCCCTTTTTCTATGCAGGCCTTACTTTTTTAAAGATAGAATTTTAGGACCAGTTAAAATTATCACTTTAGTAAGGAATATTTTAAACATTTTAGTCACATAAACAGTTTTATGTATATCTGTTCACATTTTAAAAGCACATAATTAATATACATAGACTGTGCTTCATATATATTGAAAGAAATTTATTGTAAAGAATTGGATCACTTGACCATAGAGGCTGGCAAGTCCAGAGTCTGCAGTGTGAGCCAGCAGGCTGGAAACCCATGAGAGACGATGGTGTGGATGAAGTCTGAAGGCAGTCCTTTGGAGATTTCTCCCTTGCTGAGGGCATCTTTTCATTCTATTCAGTCCTTCAACTGATTGGATGAGGCCCACCCTCATTATGGAGGAGAATCCACTTACTTACTTATTTACTCATCAGCTTAAATGTTCATCTCATCCAAAAACCCAAAACACCCTCCAAGTTGACATATAAAATTAATTATGGCTGGGTGTGGTGGCTCACGTCTATAATCCCAACATTTTGGGAGGCCATGGTGAGTGGATCACTTGAGCCCAGGAGTTTGAGACCAGCCTGAGCAACATGGCAAAACCCCATCTCTACAAAAAATACAAAAATTAGCCAGGCATGGTGGTGCATGCCTGTAGTCCCAGCTACTCAGGAGGCTGAGTAGGGAGAATCACCTGAACCGGGAAGTCGAGGCTGCAGTGAGCCACGATCTCACCACTGCACTCTAGCGTGGGCATCAGAGTGAGATTCTGTCTCAAAAACATAAATAAATAAAATAAAATAAAATAAAACAAAATAAAATCATCGTCACACCCCTCTTTAAGGGGGAGTGGACCAGGTACATTTTGCTTAACAAATGGCTCATGGTCATTATAATTGTTAACCAGGAACATTAATTAATTGTGTTAATCATTATTATTTAATTACTAACAATAACTCCACAAGTCTCTTTTGTATATTTCTTGAAACTGGAAAAATTATGGCAATAATAGAAAATCTAAATTTGGAAAAAAATAACTAGCGGACTCAAAGGGAAGGAACACCAAACACTGCAACATTCAGAAGGGATTTTCCTTGGGTCTAACAGAGAGGATTACAGTTCCCTCTTCAATGTTAACTTGAGCCTCAGTCTAAAAGTTACTTCTGAAGTCTTTAAGCTGTGACCTGAATTGTCCCTACAACTGTTTATCTGTGTGTTTTTTAAGAAGGTCATACCAAACATTTATGATCAGCTCAAATAGAAACATTTTCTGTTTTTCTAGACTATTTTCATAGTAAACAATGAGGCTATTTGAAAAACATTTCTAAGAAATGTACTTAAATAACAGGAAACCCCATGCCAACTTTGGGAAATACAGTACAAATAGGGGAAACTCCAATCCCTAGCAACAATGGAAATGCAATGGCTCTGGTGGTGTCAACTGCCATAAAGGGCATGTTACGGAATTTCACTCCACAATCACAGTGGGCCCTGGAATAACTGAGTACTGGGCAGGCCTGAAGGGAGGTAGCCATCACTGCCTGGAATAAGGTTTCTAGGATATGCAGCAGCTTCTTATATACCCACAGAGATGGGAATTAGTCTTCTACACACCTTCATCTGTTGGGCCTGATAAAACCAAAAGAAATTCCAAGATTCATTCGTGCCTTGTCAATATCTAAGGGGATATTTACATTTAATGTTAGCAAATATTGCATAGTACTCTAACACATCCCAAAGAATCAGTCCACCATCCAATTTCTCTGCATTTAAACAACTGTCATGAAACTGACTAAGATAGTCAACAATATTTTAGGTGCACACAGACTGTCTTTTTTTTTTTTTTTTTTTGAGACAGGGTTTCACTGTGTCCCCCAGGCTGGAATGCAGTGGCATGATCACAGCTCACTGCAGCCTTGACCTGCAGGGCTCAAATGATCCTCCTACCTCAGCCCCCTGAGTAGCTGGAAGTATAGGAATGCACCACCACATTCAGCTAATTTTATTTTATTTTTCATAGAAATGTGGTTTCACTATGTTGCCCAGGCTGGTCTTGAACTCATGGGCTAAAGCAATCTTCCTGCTTCAGTCTCCCAAAGTGCTGGGGATTACAAGCATGAGCCACCACACCCAGCCTAGGCTGCCTCTTTAACACCCCCAATCATTTGTTTTCTTCCTGAACAGCTACTCAATTCAAGTGTTCAAAGAGCAAAGTACAAGTCTTTAACTTATCAATTGAGAAATTACTTTTTTCAGCCTCTCTGCCATGTATAAATGACAACATGCACCAGAACATGTTCCTGAAGGGTAATAAAGAACATATTAAGAGGCTTTTGCTGGAAATAGAATATAAAGTAAAACCTAAAGATTAAACCAATCAACCACAGAGATTTTTTTTCTTTTAGCTTACAAAAATAAATTTCTCATCATTTCTCAGATAAGCATGCAAAAATAGCTCATAGGTGTCTCATACCAGTAGAATAATGAGCTCTTACATGTTAATGTTTCCTCTGGATTCTCCATGGACTCAGCCTACTATTAATAATACCTGACAGCCCACTTACTGGCTACCATTTTAAAAGAATCTTCTAAAAGCATGGCAGTTAAAAAATCATTTATTCATGACCTGACACAGGTGTCAGCAGTATAGGCCTCAGAGATGTTAGAATAATTCAGCTGATTTCCCTCTTAACATTTTCATAATAAATTGGACATCTCCCAACTCCAGACAGTAATGGCTTCTGACCCAGGCTATAGGAACATACAAGGAACTTTACAATACCAGCTCCAAAAGAGATTAGATGCTAACAAATATGCATACCCTTCCCAAACCAGGAGCAAATGAATAATGAAAATAAAGAATATATATCCATTGTCCTATACTATTATGTAGGCCTTAAGATTCCAAGAATGGTCAATGTCCCAAGTTCAAGTGGGAAAGAACATTTTACTCTTCCCCTTCCACTTTACATTCCACTGAGAGGTTACAGTGCTTGCTGCTGCCTTCCCGTCTTTCCTCAGGGTTTCATCTCTCTCCTTTACATCTTCTTGCTCCGTTCTGGGTTTTCCTTTGTGTCTAAGGACATTTCCCTCTCCATTCCCTCCCACCTAGTCTGTCCCCATACCCTCTTCTCTCCATCTCCCTTCCTCCCTCCCTTTTGTTTGACTTTAGAAGATATTTTAATGTAAATATGTATTTCATTAAAATGAGGGGAGAGAGATTCCAGAATCATTAGATAATTTGCTCTTAATTTTTTTCTGATGCATGACCTGTTTTGTGACCCTATTCCCTAAGAGATGGATGAAAGTATATCATCTCTAATTTTATTTTTTAAATTTCCACAGGTGTTGGGGGAACAAGTGGTATTTGGTTACATAAGTTCTTTCGCGGTGACTTGTGAGATTTTGGTGCACCCATCACCACTGAACCCAATTTGTAGCCTTTTATTATCCCTCACCCCCTTCCCACCATTTCCTCCCAAGTCCCCAAAGTCCATTTTCCCTCCCTCTTTACCCCACCTCTCTGACCTCGCCATAATCTGGACCCAAGGATATTTATTGTTAATGTGTTTGTTCTTGTTTTTTGGGGGAAAGCATGTTGTATATATTTAAATAGAGTATTGTGGCTACGTTAATTTTTTTAATTATTTAATTGAAAGAGAACCTCCTCTTCTGAGTTCGCCTCCCTCTGCCTTGAACATGTATTTTAGTCCACTAAGCAATACCAAAGAATACTTAAATGAGCAAAACTAAGTGAGCAAAAATAGTATGAAGAATCTCTGTGTGACAGGTGCAGGATTTTTCATTTTCGGAGTAAATCTTGGTAAGTGGCCACACATCCACTGCCAATGCTTTCTGTAATTCTTCTCCCAGTCAACTAAGCTCTCTGTCACAATTTACTGCTCTCTCAGAACACCTTTTTTTTTTTAACTTGCCAACTATGGAGGGCTCCTTTCTCTATTTTCCATGAGAATATTTTGTTTAAGTTCACAGATGTGGGATTTTTCTCTTTTTGAAAATATTTACTGTTAAGTAAAAATGCAACTTTTTAAAGGAAGAAAATCCAAATGTTCACCAAAACCTAACTGGCATTAAAAGAACAGTCCCATTTTAAACTATGTTGATATCAAGATAGAGGTGAAGCAAAAAAAAAAATTTATTTGAGGTTACTTTCCACATGAGGTCAAGAAAGAACCCTTCATTTCCTGAAGCAATTAACAAAACAGCTATGCAATATCAGATAAAGGGGAGACTACAAAATACAACGGGATTTTAGGCCCCTCAAAAAGAAAAGATTACATTCCATACAGAGAGGAGATGCTGGATGAAAAGCTCTCATCCAGACCCCTCTCCCAGCCTCTGTCAGCCTCTTAGACAAATAGACTCAGGCCCATTAAGCCTTGGAGGCCACCGAGGCAGAATTTGATTTATTTATTTAGTTTTAAGAAAAAATAAGAACCTGACACTTTAAATCCTGCTACAACTGGTAAATTCAAGCTCAGAAGATGTGATTAGGCTATGTCTCATGTGTCTTCTCAGCTCTTTTTTTCTGCCTTATTCCCAATCCCCCCGAAATTAAAGCAGAACAGACATCGTGACTGTTTAATCACAACACCTTATAGTTATGTCCTGAAAGATCATGGTTAACATTAGTGAAAGAAAAGCTTGGGATGTGTGTAGTTGTTCTGCTCCAGTATAAATGGAAAGCTTAAACTATTTTTCTAGCCCTAATAGAATCAATCATCACCCATTTCACGATGAAACCCAAGACAAAGCTCAGAACCTAAACAGCCTTCAGAATTCAGAAAAGATAAACGGGAGAAATGAGAGCAGTCAAAGAGAGATCAGATTTCCATCTGAGACAGACTTGGTATTAGCTAAAAGGCAACTTTATAGGAATCATAGGAATCATAACAAATAGTTTATAACATCTTCTAGAATCAGGGCACATGTACAATTGTCTCAGAGTAATATTATTTCCTTTCTAGTGACAGGCTGTGTCTACATAGCTTTCTGAAGATGGGGGAGCTTAATGGAAAGATGTTTTACAATACATGTCATACTACTTTTTTATCACTAGGTCATTACCTTATATTAACATTATGAATTAACAAATTGTTGCTTAAAAAAAAGGATGCAAAGCATTTATCAAACTGTAAAAAATACAAAGAAATATAAAGTATGTCTCTGCCCTCTAAAAGCTTATTATCTAGTTGGGTGGAAAGTTTAGTGTGCATAAACTAAAATAGCTCAGAAAATGCAAGCTTGAAGAGCTCAGAAGTCAGGATCATGTTTTTATACATTAAAATACTTAAATTATACTATATATCAGACACTAGGATAAGCACTTTTGCTTATAAAAAATGCTATTATAGTAGTTCAAACAAAAGGCACCAAAAAATGGAGAGATTTCCAATAAGTTGATCAGAGATAACCTCAGGAATAAAATGATGTTTGAGACTTTGAAGAAAAGGCAAGATTTAAGAGAATTCAAAGAGAAGATGCCCTTAGTTGAAGAAATGGCACATCCAAAAGAACAAGAACAACAACAACAAAAAACAATGAATATTTAGGAATTAACTAGTTCAGTTTGTCCAGCACAGGGCATTTGTAACAAGCTAAATTTTATACACTCTGAAATGAGGTTCTGGACATACTGCCAATACCAGATGGGAGTAGAGATGTAATTTAAGAATCAATCTTATAGAGGAAGAAAGAGAGAAACGTAAAAGTTATCCAAGGGGAAAGATAAGAGAGTTTGGGCCAAAAACTTAGAAAAACTTCCATGCAGCCAAAAGAGAGAGAGAGAGAGAGAGAGCGAGACAAATGAGACAGTTCCATGGGGTCACCAGGGAAGGTTTGTCAAAATATATAAAATTTTAGCTGAGTCTTAAGGAGTGAGGAGAACCCAAATTAGTAGATAATATGGTTTGGATCTGTGTCTTTCTCCACCAAATCTCATGATTGTAATCCCCAATGTTGGAGGTAGGGCCTGGTGGGAGGTGATTAAATCATGGGGCAGATTTCTCATAAGTGGTTTAGCACCATCCTCCTTGGTACCGTCGTCCCGATAGTGAACAAGTCCTTGTGAGATCTGGTTGGTTAAAAGTGTGTAGCACCTCCCCGCAACTCTCTCTCTTGTTCCTGCTTTCACCATGTGAAGTGCCTGCTCCCTCTTCGCCTTCTGCTATGATTATGTTTCCTGAGGCCTCCCCAGAAGCCGAGCAGATGCCAGCCTCATGCTTCCTGTACAGCGTGAAGAACTGTGAGCCAATTAAGCCTCTTTTGTTTATAAATTACCCAGTCTCAGGTATTTCTTTGTAGCAATGCAAGAATGAACTAATATAGTAGAGAAGAAAACAGAGGGTGTCATAGATGAGCACTTGATATGCTTTAATAAATGAAAGCCAAAAAACACAGGAAGCTTGGAGGACACCAATAGCTGACCGAAGCCAGAACAAGCAATTTTACCTAACACTGGCAAGAGATATTTACAAGGATACAATTTGGATGAGGTGCAGAGATCTGTGATTCTTACTAAGGAGTCTAGGTTTTATCCAAAAGGCAATGTGGAGCCACTGAAAATTTTTCAGCAATGAGGTGACTTGACAGAATTTCAGGCTAACTGCTGACCTAAAACACTAATGAACTATATCCCAGATAGTGACCCCAACTCGATTAGTTTTCTACTAAAATCTTGGACAGTATATCTACAATTTCTCCTCTAAGATACCCCAAAGCATTTGCAAGTACTGCCACCATTCCTTTCCTTGGGTCTTATTCTGCCTTATTGATGAGAGAAAAGTTTGGTTACTCACGCCTGTAATCCCAGCACTTTGGGAGGCCGGCAGATCACAAGGTCAGGAGTTTGAGACCAGCCTGGCCAACATGGTGAAACCCCATCTCTACTAAAAATACACCACAGGTGTGGTGGCGGGCGCCTGTAATCTCAGCTACTCAAGAGGCTGAGGCAGGAGAATCGCTTCAACCTGGGAGGCGGAGGTTGCAGTGAGCTGAGATTGCACCACTGCACTCCAGCCTGGGTGACAGAATGAGACTCCATCTCAAAAAAAAAAAAAAGATTGGTTACACAGTAAGAGGGAGATGACCACTGATGCTTAAGAGAGATTATGTGTCAGAGTGTTTGAGAGCCTGTGTCTACATACTTCTTAGCTTAGTGGGAAAAGTCCCTGGGAAAAGATTTTCTTTCTCAAGAGGGGACTGGAAAAGTGATCTCCCACATATCTTCTTCCTGCTCTCTTCCCACACCTTTATTCATTTCTGTCTACCCCTTTACTAGTCACCATGCCCCCAGCATAATGGAGAAGAAAAGGAGGCCTCCAGAACTAAGGCACATGCTCCTCTTAACAGAGAAGATCTTGGAGGCTTGCAGAATATAATAAAGAGGAAGGTACCTTTCTTTAGTTAACAAACTCTTATAAACCATTTTCCATGTGACAGGTAATGAAACATACACTCACAAATACACACACATATACACATACATATATGTGTGTGTGTATATATATACACACACATATACACATACATATATGTGTGTGTGTATATATATACACACACGCACACAAAATATATATATAATTTAACCCTCATAACAATCCAATGAAATAGGTCTTACTATTAACCCCGTTTTACAGATGAGGAAACTGGGGCAATACAAAGTTAAGTGACTTGCGTAAGGTATGTAAGTTTCGGGGCTGATATGAAACCAGGCAACCTATCCCAGAATTCCCACTTTTAACCACTGCCTTGTGCTCCATCTTTATTCTCATTCTGCTTTTGGTCCTTAAAACATGACTTCTAGTGAGCCCTGTGGGAGGGTTGGAAGGAATGGAGATGGAAAGGACACAATATGGGACTCTCAGGCTCCCTGGCCATAGGACTAGCAAAATCTCACTCTTAACCCAGTTTGCCTGAGGCTGCAATTTTTTGAATTTTTGCAGTCAGACCTTGGCAATGACCTTGAGCAGCAGGATATAAATAACTCCCACATGTTTAGCGTTCTGATAATGGAACACTAGGCATATATGGGTTTTAATCGGTATATCCACAAGAAATACATTTTCTGAAAAACTTAAACTTCAATGAAGTGAATTTGACGTGAATTGACACTGACAGCTGTAAGAACATCCCCACACACCTTTTTTTTAAACTGAAATTCTATACTTAGTTCGTTCATAATTTCCCATTAGCACATGCTGAAAAAAACTTCCCATCGTTTAGATTTTTAATCTTATGTGGAAATGTTGCTCTTAATAGAAGGAACATTTCAAACAGTTCATGGAGAATGCAAATAGAGGTAGAGGATGGAAATGGCTATTGACATTGCTGTTAGAGAAGTTTTACCAATAGCAAGGGACAATATTGTTTTCAGTAATCATTTTATTGCTTTTTGCATACAGTGAACACTGGGACATTTCCTAAATGTCACTGAAAGACTGAAAATTTTTAAATAAAAATAATTCAAAAAGTGGAGTAATGTAGGGCCATTTAGTGCATAAACAGCTCTATACACTTAGAATATCTTCACACATTTATGGTAATAAAGATGATTTTAATGATCATGAATATTATGTATAACACCTAAGTAACTAATAGCAATTTGAAGCCAAATCCACTCATAAGAAAACTGATGGATAAGGATATATATATATATACACATATATAGACTTTTGCTTCTCAACAAACTGGGGTAACAGGAATCAGATTTACCTTCCCACTTGAAACAACAACAGCCACAAAAACAAAAACAGACCAAATCTATGATGTGAATCTATAGTTTTTAAGACAATGACATCAGGCAACAAAAGACAGTAATATCCAAAAAATAAGAAATATACAAAGTAGGCCCTACATTTGACTCAATTTACTGCCATGAGTGATTCTATACCACAGCACAATGCTGAGTAGCTGTAGCAGAGCCAGTGGTAATATCAGATGGAAGTACAGATCTACATAAAGGAATGAAGAGTACCAGAAATGATAACTATACTGGTAAATAGATAAGATCATGTTCTTATTATTTATATATCTTTCAAAGATAGTTGTCTAAGCAAAAATAAAAATATATTGTGGAATTTTCAACAGAGACATAAATAAAATGTATAACAACAGTATTATAAATGTCAAGAAGGGAAAATTGGAAGTATACTATTGTAAGGTTCTTATATTACACATGAAGGGATATAGTACTTGAAAGTAGACTTTGATGGGATAGCTGTAGAGTATAAAACCTAAAGCAGTGTTTTCAACCTTAGTTCTTTTGTCATTTTGAGCCAGACAATTCTTTGTCATGGAGAGCTGTTAGGTGCATTGTAGGAGTTTTAGTAGCATCCCCAGACTCTACTCACTAGATGCCAGCAGCATCTCCCCAGTTGCAAAAATTAAAAATGTTCTCAGACATTGCCAAATGATCCCTGGAGGATAAAACCACTGCCAGATAAGAATAACTAAAGTGATCACTAAAAAAAAAAAAAAAAAAACAGTCATAGCTAATAAACAAAGATGAAATAATTATACCATCAAAAAATACTAAATTAATTCAAAAGAAGACAGATACAAAGGAAAAGGGAAAGGAAGAAGACACAGGACTAACATAATAAAACAAATAGGATAATGATGATAATAGACTTTAACTGAATCATATCAATAATAATATTAAATATAAATGGCCTAAATACTCTCAATTAAAAGGTAGAAATTGTCAGATTGGGTAAAATAAAAGGTCCCAATTATATGTTGCCCACAAGAAATGAAATTTAATTTTTTTTTTTTTTTTTTTGAGACGGAGTCTCCCTCTGTCGCCCAGGCTGGAATGCAGTGGCCCCATCTTGGCTCACTGCAAGCTCCGCCTCCCAGGTTCATGCCGTTCTCCTGCCTCAGCCTCCAGAGTAGCTGGGACTATAGGCGCTTGCCACCACACCCAGCTAATTTTTTTGTATTTTAGTAGAGATGGGGTTTCACCATGTTGGCCAGGATGGTCTCAAACTCCTGACCTTGTGATCCAGCCACCTCAGCCTCCCAAGAAATTTAAATTTAAAGACATAATGTGTTAAAATAAAATTATGAAAAAAAGATGTATCATGCTAATACTAATCAAAAGAAAGCTGAAGTGCCTATATTAATATTAGACAAAGTAGACTGCAGAATAGTGAATAGTATGAGGGAAAATGAAAGTTATTTCAAAATAATAATGTGGCCAGTGTACCTAAAGGACATTATAATCCTAAATATTTATGAGTCTAACAACAGAGCTTCAACAGACATGAAGCAAAACCTCATAGAATTGTAAGGAGAAATACAGAAACCACAATTATAGCCAGAGATTTCAACAACTCTTTTCCAATAATTGGTAGAATAAATAGACAGAAATCCAGTAAAAGTATAGAAGGCTTGAACAACACAACCTGACCTGACATTTGTTGAACATTATATCCAACACTTCTTTTCAAGTGCACGCACAATATTTACCAAAACAGACAATACCCTGAGCCATAAAACAAACGTCAATATATTTAAAGGGATCCATATTGTACAAAAGATACTGTCTAATCACAATGGAACTAAATTAGAAATTAAGAACAAAAAGATCTCTTGAAACTCCTGAATATTTAGAAACTAAATGGCATACTTCTTTTTTTTTTTTTTTCTCGAGACGGAGTCTTGCTCTGTCACCTAGGCTGGAGTGCAGTGGCACGATCTCAGCTCACTGCAAACTCTGCCTCCTGGGTTCATGCCATTCTTCTGCCTCAGCCTCCCAAGTAGCTGGGACTACAGGTGCCCGCCACCAGGCCCAGCTAATTTTTTTGTATTTTTAGTAGAGACGGGGTTTCACTGTGTTAGCCAGGATGGTCTCAACCTCCTGACCTCGTGATCCGCCCGCCTCGGCCTCCCAAAGTGCTGGGATTACAGGCGTGAGCCACCGCACCTGGCCCTAAATGACATACTTCTAAATAAATCATAAGTCAAAGAATAAAACAATCAGCATTAGAAAGGATTTTAAACTGAATAAAAATGAAAACATAAAAATTTGAGGGATGCCACTCAAGTAGTGTTTAGAGGGAAATTTATAGCATTAAATGTCTATAATAGAAAAGCAAAAGGTTCTCAAATCCCCTCAGCTATCACATTTGTAAATTTAAAAAAGAAGAGCAACTTAAATCCAACGTAAGCAGAAAAAAGGAAACAGCAAAGAGAAGATGGGAAATTAATAACACAGAAAACTGAAAAACAGTGGGGAAAGTCAATGAAACCAAAAGCTAGGTTTTTGAGACTATCAATAAAACTGATAAACCTTGAGCCAGACCAGGCAGATCAGAGAAGAAAAAAAAAAAAAGAGAGAAGACACAAATTTCTAATGTCAGAGTAAGAGAGGTGACTTCCAAGGAAAGAATATTTTTATATTTTTGCAGTTAGGGTTTTCTGAGCAAATACACTTGAAACTTTTGTCAACAAACAAATCTTGGGAGTTAAAGGGTGATTCAATAACGAGAGACCATCCAGAAAGATTTACCTCTTCAAAGGCATGTGCCTACATTTCAAAGAGGGCTGAGACACAGAGCCATAGAGATATTTCAGAGGTTGTAAACACAAAGACTTATCTTCCACCTGGAGATATTTCTTTATATTCCAAAGGGTAATAACCCAGTAATCTTTCCCTTTCCTCCCAGGGTGAATTTGTTTACATTGAGAAGCTTAAATTTCTGTCTTTCAGGAGTAGAAGAGTCAAGATTTACATAAATCCCTAGATTCGAATTTTTATCCTTCCTCACCTATATAGTTCAGATACCAGTACAAGTTGGGTGACTTCTGGCTCTCATCCTCCAAGAAGAGGGAAAGACTGAGGAAACGAGAACCAACGCAGTTATTGCTGTGAGTAATAATAGTCTATTCCTACTCCTGAAACCTCATGTCTACTTCTGTGATAACATGAATAAACATAGATATTTAAAACTTATCCGTGACATTATTACACATTCTATAAATATTAAAAGGAGAATAATGGAATAAAAATGACATTCTCAATCAAAATTGACAACTTAGAAGATATAGACAAATTCCTTAAAAGATGCAAACTCCCAAAGCTGACTTCAAAAATAAATGGATAAACTGAATAGCCTTATAGCTAGCAAATAAATTGAATTTGCAAAAAAACTGTCCCACACAAAAAAATTCAAGGCCCAAATAGCTTCACTAGTAAACTCTACCAACATTAAAGATGAAAAATATTATTTCTACACAAACTCTTCCAAAAAATTTGAGGAAGAAGAAATACATCCCAACTAATTCTATGAAGCCATTATTTCCCTGATAAACAAAGACATTATAAGAAAACTATAGACCAATATAGCTCATGAGCATAGATTCAAAATTTAAAACAAAATTTTAGCAATATATAAACAATATATAAAATTAATATTATTATCAGGCAGTGTTTTCCTCAGAAATGCCAGGTTCATTTAACATTAATTTCAAAAATCAATGTAATTCACTATATCAACAAACACAAAAATAAAATCCACATAATAATTTCAATAGATGCAGAAAAAGCACTTGACAAAAAATCAGCATTTATTCCTGATAAAAACTCTCACCAAACAAATAATAAAAAGAAACTCCCTCAATTTAATAAAAGACATTATAAAAACCAGCAGCTAACATCATAATGAAGAGAGACTAAATGCTTTTTTCCTAAGATTAGCAAAAGAAAAGGACGTGCATTCTTATCACTTCTATTCAATATTTTTCTGGAAGTTTAAGCCAGCACAGTAAGGAAAGAAAAAGAAATAAAAGGCCTCTAGATTAAAAAGGAAGAAGTAGAAACACTTTCTTTCTTTCTTTCCTTACTATGCTGGCTTAAACTTCCAGAAAAATGCACATCATGAATGTATACGCCTGAACTTAAAATAAAAGTTAGAAATTTTTTTTAAAAAGTGTATTGTGCAATAATAATGAAAATGTAACTGTATCACATTGTGATAATTATTCCATCTGCTCATTTAATAAATACCTATTGCTTATTCACCAAAAAAGGAAGAAGTAAAACTGTCTTTATTCACAGATGACATAATCATCTTTGTGGAAAATCTGATGATTCTACAAAAATGCTACTAGGTCAGTGCAGCTCATGCCTTGATGTCAACCTTGTAAGAGCTGGAGTAGAGAACCTAGTTGAGCCTCCCTGAGCTACTTCTGACTACAGTACTGTGAAATAATACATATCTATTGTTTATGTCACTAAGTTTAATAATTAATTATGGAGATACAGAAAACTAATAAACCTACTGAAGCAACATTTATGGAAAGTGGTGCCCAAGGATCTGTATGTTTAACAAGCTCCCAATTAATTCTAAACACAGTAAAGTTTAAGACTAACTCAACTGGAAGAACACGGTCACAAAAATGGAACAGATTGGGACTTCTGAACTTATAGATCTTTCAAAGCAGAGGAGGCCATGCCCATTTTTACAATTTTAATACAATTCTTAACTAATTCCTTGCTGATGATATTCTCTTAACAACATGATGAAGAAAATGCTTTAAGGTAATTTACTGCATCTTCCAAGCTCCAAGCAAGGATGAATTATGTCCTAGTCAAAATCTATTCATTCTGTTTTTAGAAGATAGGGAATATATATGCACAAGTTCAATAATGTGATCCATTGTACAATACCACTTTCTTGTCTGCACTTTCTTCCTAAACGCCATTCTAAATTCTCTTTAGTGTAATTTAACCCAGTTTTCTTTTCAGATCCTGGAAAAAATAGTTAATAGCTGGCCATCTTCCTTTATGTCTTCTCCCTTACTTCCCGTGAGGACTGTCTAGTAGCCATATGCTTATCCCCAGGAGGTCAATTGTGATTGGTCCAGATAGAGGTTATATATAGTCTTTGCTGATTACGGTATAAAAAGTCAATATGCAATTTAGTTCTGACCAAAAATACCTAAGATGAAGCCTGTTGGGTGATAATGGGAACATCCCACAAATAGTAGATATGGGCTGAGTTGTCTACTATTTGTCTCCCTCCGAAAAATCACAAAAACATTTATAAAAATGCACATAACACATCCAGGAACCCAGGATAATCAGAACTGCTGGAGTCATCCTGTGACCATAGAGGGAGATTTCACTGAATCCTGATGATGGCAGAAGAGAATTATGAAGAGTGCCTCCGTCCTTGAAGACTCTGTTGAGCAGCCAAACTGACCCTGGAACTGCCTATTTCAAAATTCCTCATGAAGTAAGCTTTAAAATGGCCTTCTTATTTAAGCCATTTTTAGGTGGGTATTCTGATATTTCCCTATAATTCTTGTAGTCTAAGCCATTTTCATATCAGTTCACATTCCCAGAAAGTTCCCAGGAATGCTTGGCTATGTGGCAGTAACCTCCAGTCCCTCTTTTCAGCCTATTCTTAAGCCAGAAATCCCCCACATCCTCTCTGGATTGGCAAGGTGAGACTCTGCCAGGCCATTTGCAGGGTTTCCAAACATAGCCATGGCATAGACAGTCTGGAGGATGTAGTGTGTGCTACTACTCAGCCCCTTAACCTTTTCCCAGAACCAGCAGGCACCATGTCTGAGCCTAGACTGAAGCTCCCCAGAAACATCCAGGAGAGTGGCTGTGAAATATTAGGTTGGTGCAAAAGTAACCATTAAAAGTAACGGTTTTTGCCATTAAAAATAACGGAGTAAGTAATAGACCACTAGGGACATGCGGTGGGTTGGAACTCTGGTAAGACGGACCTCAAACCAGTACATTAAGAACTGCTTCAGTTCCTCTAGGCACGACTGAGATAGGAAGCCCCATCCTAAAGCTCCTGGGTGGCTACTTGCTGCCTCCCTCAGGAACCTTTGCTAGAAGTTATGGCTGCTCTTTCACAGCAAGAAAACCAGAGTTGAAAGGGAGAGAAAGAGTCCATGTTATTTCCCTGGCAAATTGCAGTGGAACACAAGAGAGGAAAATAAATGCTCACTAACTCCTTTGATTCATTAATAAAACATGATGAGAAAATGTATAATTATAATTCTTGATATTTCTCTTCGAAAATTCATTTTCGTGATCCCAGCCTCTTTTTTTGCTTTATTCTGTGAAACATCTAGTGGGACTTGTAGAGATTGGAATGGGCAATTGGCAAGCTGCAAGTAGCCTAAGAAATAGCATTTACCTTGGGTAATTCACCATGATCCAGAGCCTTGTTTTTGACTCTGCTAAGACAGAGCCTGATTCCTTCAGCATGCCACACGAGATGCTGGGCCAATCTGCAAACCATAACTGACATATGGATCTGAATATTCACATTGATATGACCAGTACATTCTCTGCAGTAGCAAATCTATGAAAGGCCAACTCATAAACCAAATGTAGCAGAAGCAGCATGAAATCGGAACAAGGGAAATTTGTTAGTGATTCAAAATTTTAGAAGAAACAAACATCCATCGCCATGTGAGAAAGTCACAAGAATTGACGTTCCCATGCCGGTCTCCTTGGGCAGTTCTTAGGCCAGCCTCTCCACAGTTTCTTTCTCTGACTCTCCGCTACCTGCAAGGAGGTTTCAGTCTGAGCAGCCATCTGTCTTTGGATTGGTATATTATTATTAATCATTAAATACGTGAATCTTTCAGTTAGTTTATAGTTAACTCTTAATCATATACCAAATGTAATAGAATTGCGTTTTTGCTACATTCTGGGAGAGGCATTCTGATATTTCTATCTCTCTGCTTTATGTTGATTTTATACTTTTGCATGGGGGCTAACACTGTTTCCAACTTTTTTCATAACACCTCATTGTTACTCCTAAACATCACAAAAAATTACGCAGATGCCAAATCAATGTGTCACTCATATCAGAGTTCACTTGCTCAGTCCAGGATCCAGGACCAGCCTCAGAGAGGTTGGACCACAGGCACACATAGCTCATTCAGGAAAAGCAGAACTGCCGTCACAACCTTTATAACCGAACATGCAGCAGGAATCCTGGAACAATGCATGATCACTAGTCGCCTGATACCAAGCCTCATATTCTTCCAATTAGTCCTTAAAATTATTCTCATTCTCATACCAACTACATTAATCATACAATTCCTGGATGACTACAGACCCCTAAGCCCTCACTATTCCACCACCTTCCACACTGCCACCAGCATACATACACAAGCACACCGCGTATATGCAGCACATCTAACTCAGCACAAGCCTTGCTCGGTATAATCTCAATTCCCTTGTATTCTCTGGGGAGAGATGAATGGCATCCTTTTTGATTTCAGTATACATGTAGCTATGACAAATTTCCATCTTTCAGGGAATTTACAAAAGCTTTTTGGCTATCATGCATCTAACTGTACCACCCAAAACAGATTTTCTCAAAAAGGGGAGAAAAAACTTGGTCTCACATCTCACTGTTACACAAACGTAACATTTGGTCTCGTAGAAGAAACATTAAAAAGGCCATTGAGCCCTCCAGTGGCAAAATTCTGAAAATGTTATGATGCACATCTAAGCACCCTGGAGAAATCTCCTGAAGACGCGCAGAAACAGAATAGGCAGTCTTAAATCAGTTTAGGCTTTGGGGGTTTTCAAGTTCCTAAACTTTCTATGACCACAATTAGCCCAAATTATGACAGTGATCATTGTCCGAGCACTCAATTTTCTGGAAAAATCTCTTCCAGGTAATGCCTTAATGGAAAAGCCCTCTCAAATTTATTTCTGTGCTTTAAGGTTTATTTATTTTGACAGCTGTAGATTTTAATAAAGAGTTTAATTAAAGATGTTGCCACCAGACATATCTGATGAGTCTAGTTCTGGGGATGAATTATAAGACTTGTGAAAATCAAACAAAACAGAAACAGGAGTCATTCCTAGAGGTCTGTAATTGAAGACTAAATGTCTTAATTCAGAGGCTACCTGGCTTGGGTTAAAGATGTTCAATGACTTTGCTAATTATTTTCTCTTGATATAGGTATTTTCCAGTATTAAGTTACAGAAACTCCTGGGTACATGTTTACTACTCTCTTCTTTGCTTTTCTAATTTCTAAAGGACTGAGAGGGTGGAAAGAGGTGAGGGTCACTTGCTTTTGATAGTTGATTAGGACAGATGATCTCTCTTCCTATGAGGCTCTTCATTTTATTATACCACTGTATCTCTCTCCTCACACTTTTTCTAACATTTTCTTCTTCACATTTTTAATTTTTTTATTATGTCAAATTGAAGATTTCTTACATATGTTATTACACATTTTTATCCAATTTTTCCTCCTCATGAAATTTTGAGTCATAAAGTTTTCTATATGGGTTAACGATTCTACAAAGGTTGGAAATATACTATGATCTCATCTGTATTATTATTCTTTGCATTGGCATTTAAACTTTTATAATATATATTTATTTACATACAAATTTCATAATTTTTATAACTGTATATGTATTGAAAACATATAATGTTCTTCATATAGTTAACTAGCGAAATCAGTATCTCTTAATGTTTGTACAATTTGCCTATTTCTATTTAATTTTTTGGAATTCAACATTTGACATAAAAATAACATAAGGCTATTTTCATTTTAGGTTATATCTACAATGCTTACCTGCATTTAAAAGCTGATATTCAGATACTGACCTTAAGTTTGAGAATCATGCCTTGCACACATAAGAGATGTAGTAGTATAGATTAGATATGATGCTAACCTGGTGTTCACACGCAAGTTCAGGGATGGCAGAAACAAAGTGAAGGTGGGCATTTGCTCTTGAGCTTTCAAAGGCTGAGAACTTCTCAAGGTTTGGGTGGAGCAGTGAGGCCAAGGCTGAACTTCAATCCATCCCTAAGCCCTTGACAGTAATTTCTGGTCTGCTTCTGTTCCCCTCACTGCACTATGGACCTTTTGAGGGTAGATGCTTTACCTTATTTGTCTAGGATAGTGTTTGACAAATAGTGAATATTCAACAGACTTTTAAAAATATTCAGCAAACATATCTATCAAATCAGTGCAGGCTTATTTTTGTGAGATCTTTGTTAGGTGTGTATAGGCTGGCAGGTTTAAAACTTGGTCATGTACACTGAAGTCTTAGCAGTGTGCCATTTTAGGTTTAATCTAAACATTCCTCTACCTTTAGAATCTCTTATCTTCCTTTTATTATCCACATTCTTTTCATACTTACAGCTTAAATTCTGACTAGTTAAATCCTCGTATTTCCTTTTTTGTTGTCTTCTCTCTCTCTCTCCCTCTCTCTCTCCACCCACCTCTTTTCTTCATTTTAATTGAGAGAGACTACATATTAGAAAATATCCTAGTAGGATATTTTATACTATAAAATTATTTACCATCTTTTATTCTAAACCAACCAGAGATTCTAATTTTGGGGGGTACTTTGTTTTAAATTCATTTATTTTTATGAAACCTTATTGAGCACATACTATATAATAAGGTATTGCTCTAGGTACAGTTATAACTATTGAAATCTAGCTTTATTAGGAAAAGAAACTTTTAATTAGCCAAATATCTTCTCTATTATTATCCTTCATATTCAGTAAACCCTATCCATGTGGGAAATGTGCATCCAAAACATTGACATCAGTCTTTCCACACAAGTCAAGATCTTTCTCACATCTCAGTATGGCAGCTGCTTTGCAGGACAATGTCATATTTGTAACTCAACTTATGGTCTCTAAAATGAGGATAATGCCATTATTTTTAGAACATTAAGAAGTCTGCATAGGAAGATAACTGTACAACTCATTTCCTTTAAACCATAGCAGCTTGAAAAACACATAGACTTGGAGATTCCTCTGAATTCACAAGAGCCAGAAGTTTTAAACTACACCTAGAGCCTCATCCTGCTAAAGCTTAGCCAATATTTTAGTGGGGGAAAGCATCTCAAAGACCACATTATTCTTACATTAGGCTGTTAGCAATTTCATAACATTTATACCATATTTCTATTTGCTCAAAGTTCTCCCTCAGAACATAGTGCTCCTGCAAACTTCTGAAGTAATTTTCCCCAATTAAATTCCTAAGAAAATTGAAATCCTTCAAATTTTAGTAGCTGTAAAACTCCATTTACACTGGCATTACAGTCTATTTCTACCTGGCAGCAACATTCATCAAACACCTACATGCTACTGTATAGAAATGAGTCACTTCCCCTTCTGGGGGAGATTTAAAGCACAATTCCGCAAAGCAAAATAGTCTGAAAAGCTAGAAAGTTACATGCTTTCCAAAAAAGGAAACACTGAACCACAGTCTCTCACTGAGTGAAAATAGGCAAAGAAAATAAAAATATAAAATGAGTATAAAGTTTAATGAACGTCAACACCTTTATGAATCAAAACGCCTATGCAAAGGCTTAGTGAGAAAAAAAGTCCTCAGAGAAATGCTTATCATCATTTCATTCAAATGAAGTGGTCCTCCTTATTCATTTAAAACTAACAACCTTGTAGCTATTTTTAACTAAGAAATGAATAGATTTATCTTCTAACCAACAAAAACTAGATTGATTTATCTAGTTTGTTACATTTTTCTTTACCTTTTTTCCCTTTTGTGTTTCCTACTTATTTCTGGCGAGGGATTACTAAAAAGAGAGAAATAAAAATACAAAGTGGAAAACTATTATCCAAACTCAGTCATTTGGAAATTTGAGATTCTGAAAATTTTCTAATGGTTGGCATCTTTTTAAAGGTCACTTTTTGAACAAGAGCCCTCAAATACAAAATTGTGAGATGCAATAAGAGAATATTCTATTGGAAGTAATAATAAATTTTATATTTCTGGCCTTATTTGTAATAACATAAAAGTAGAAACAGCCCAAAGGTCCATTAACAGGTGAATGCATAAACAAATTGAAGTATATCTGTACGTTGGAATACTACTCAGCAAGAAAAAAGAATGAACTATTAAATGCCATGAATAAATCTTAAAATTATTACACTGAGTGATAAAAATCCAAACTTCCTAATAAAAAGGACGTATACTTTTTCATCTCACTTATATAAAATTCTAGGAATTGAAAATTAAATCTAGGTGACATAAGTCAGATCAGTGGTAGCCTAGGGAAAGGGATGAAGGCAGAGAGAGATTAAAGGGGAGCACAAGGAAATTTTCTAGAGCCATCAAAATGTTTGTTATCTTGATGTGGTGATGATTTTACATGGATGTACACGTCACAATTCATTAAGCTGTGTACTTTTAACATGTGAAATTGTCTGATAATTATGCTGCAATAAACCTGTTTTTAAAAACTATCTGCTCATAAAATGCCACCCCCATAAAAAGTCACTAAAGGTCCTGTGAAAATTAGAACTTCCACTATTTAGGACATGTGAATCCATAAGCAAGATGAATCCCAGCACTAGGAGGGACACAGAGACATGACATGAGGACCCTGACTTCCTCTTAAGACTGTGATACAAGGGAAATTTGGCTTTGTTAGACATCTGTCTCTGATGATGTGATCAGGACAAACTACGAAAGTAACGGATAAGTAGAATTCACAGAAAATTCCCAATGATAAGAAAAGATGAGACTGATTTAAAATAGAAAAAAAGAGGGAAATATAAAATTGGAAAAATATAAGTTTTCAGACCCAGAACAATAGATGGCATACATCTGTGGTTTTAGAAAGAAGGAGAACAAATGAGGTGAGTCCAGTTAGAAGAAGTGATATTTGGGCTGAGACTTAAAGAGGAGAAAGAGGTAGACATGTGAGGAAAAAGAGGGACGTTCAGCACTCTGAAAAGAGTCATCACGGAACCTGGGGAACCACAGCATGAATGGAGCATAGAGTCTGAGGAAGTAGTGTTGAGAAATAAGATAGGTAGGAGCCAGACCACAAAGGGTCTAATATGTCATTACAGGGATGTTAGACTTTGTCCTGAGAGCAATGAGGAATCAGTGACATTTTAAGAAAGCAGGAGAAAAGAAAATTCTGGCTCTAGTTGGAGAACACGTTAGATAAGACAAAACTGGAGAGAGAGACACCATTTTAGTAATCCACTCGAGATGACAGGGACTGAAAACCAAGGTTGCTTCTGAATAAAAAGGTGAACGAGTCCAAGAGATATTAAAAAGGTAAGATGGGAAGAATTTGGTGATGGATTGGAAGTGGCAAGCAGGGAAAGTTAAGACTAAGTTAAATAAAGAGATGAATGAATAAAGAATGAGAACTAAACAAGATGGCCAGCTTTCTGTCTTGGGCAACCAAGACAATGGTGATACCATTTACTGTAAGAGGAAACACAGAGAGTATTCGAAGACGATTCTCCACTGGTGCCTCGCCTTTCACATATTGACACTAACTGGATGCCGGTGTTCTAGAAAATCATCTCTAGGATGTTTATACAGTGCAACCTTAAAAGACAGAGAGAGTATCTCCCTACAGAGTAGAGAGAAGATATTTTTAACGTACAGTCTCCTAAGGATAATGCCTCCCTTTATTAAATGTAATAGGTTGCTTCCAAGATGGCTGAATAGGAATACAAAAGTAGAAACAGCTCAAAGGTCCATTAACAGGTGAATGCATGAACAAACTGAAGTATAAATGTACATCTGTATATCGGTCTATAGCTCCCAGCAAGATCGACGCAGATGACAGGTGATTTCTGCATTTCCAACTGAGGTACCTGGTTCATCTCATTGGGACTGGTTGGACAGTGGGTGCAGCCCACGGAGGATGAGCCAAAGCAGGGCGGGGCATCACCTCACCCGGGAAGCACAAGGGGTGGGGGGATTTCCCTTTCCTAGCCAAGGGAAGCCGTGACAGACTGTACCTGGAGAAATGGTACACTACTGACCAAATACTGCTCTTTTCCCATGGTCTTAGCAACCGGCAGACCAGGAGATACCCTCCTATGCCTGGCTTGGCAGGTCCTATGCCCACAGAGCTTTGCTCACTGCTAGCGCAACAGTCTGCGATCAATCTGTGACACTGCAGCTTGACGGGAGGAGGGACATCTGCCATTGCTGAGGCTTAAGTAGCTCACAGTGTAAACCAAGCTGCTGGGAAGCATGAACTGGGTGGAGCACACCGCAGCTCAGCAAGGCCTACTGGCTCTATAGATTCCACCTCTGGGGGCAGGGCATAGCAGAACAAAAGGCAGCAGACAGCTTCTGCAGATGTAAACGTCCCCATCTGACAGCTCTGAAGAGAGCAGAGGTTCTCTCAGCATGGCGTTTGAGCTCCAAGAACGGTCAGACTGCCTCCTCAAGTGTCGCCTGACTGGGAAACCCCTCCCAGTAGGGGCTGACAGACACCTCAAACAGGCAGGTGCCCCTCTGGGATGAAGCTTCCAGAGGAAGGATCAGGCAGCAATATTAGCTGTTCTGCAGCCTCCACCTGTGATACCCAGGCAAACAGGGTCTGGAGTGGACCTCCAGCAAACTCCAATAGACCTACAGCTGAGGGGTCTGTTAGAAGGAAAACTAACAAACAGAAAGGAATAGCATCAACAAAAAGGACATCCACACCAAAACCCCATCTGTAGGTCACCAACATCAACATCAAAGACCAAAGGTAGATAAAACCACAAAGATGGAGAGAAACCAGACCAGAAAAGCTGAACATTCCAAAAAACAGAGCACCTCTTCTCCTCCAAAGGATCACAGCTCCTCGCCAGCAAGGGAACAAAGCTGGATGGAGAATGACTTTGACAAGTTGACAGAAGTAGGCTTCAGAAGGTCCATACTAAGAAACTTCTCCGAGCTAAAGGCGCATGTTCTAACCCATCGCAAGGAAACTAAAAACCTTGAAAAAAGTTAGACAAATGGCTAACTAGAATAAACAGTGTAGAGAAGACCTTAAATGACCTGATGGAGCTGAAAACCACAGCACGAGAACTTTGTGATGCATGCACAAGTTTCAATAGCCAATTTGATCAAGTGGAAGAAAGGATATCAGTGACTGAAGATCAAATTAATGAAATAAAGCATGAAGACAAGATTAGAAAAAAAAAAAGAGTGAAAAGAAATGAACAAAGCCTCCAAGAAATATGAGACTATGTGAAAAGACCAAATCTACATTTGATTGGTGTACCGGAAAGTGACAGGGAGAATGGAACCAAGCTAGAAAACGCTCTTCAGGATACTATCCAGGAGAACTTCCCTAACCTAGCAAGGCAGGCCAACATTCAAATTCAGGAAATACAGAAAACACCACAAAGATACTCCTGGAGAAGAGCAACCCCAAGACACATAATTGTCAAATTCACCAAGGTTGAAATGAAGGAAAAAATGTTAAGCGCAGCCAGAGAGAAAAGTCGGGTTACCCACAAAGGGAAGCCCATCAGACTAACAGCGGATCTCTCGGCAGAAACCCTACAAGCCAGAAGAGTGGGAGCCAATATGCAACATTCTTAAAGAAAAGAATTTTCAACCCAGAATCTCATAACCAGCCAAACTAAGCTTCCTAAGTGAAGGAGAAATAAAATCCTTTACAGACAAGAAATGCTGAGAGATTTTGTCAACACCAGGCCTGCATTACAAGAGCTCCTGAAGGAAACACTAAATATGGAAAGGAATAACTAGTACCAGCCACTGCAAAAACATGCCAAATTGTAAAGACCATTGACGCTATGAAGAAACTCCATCAATTAACAGGCAAAATAACCAGCTAACATCATAATGACAGGATCAAATTCAAACATAACAATGTTAACCTTAAATGTAAATGGACGAAATGCCCCAATTAAAAGACATAAACTGGTAAATAGGATAAAGAGTCAGGAGACCCATCTCACATGCAAAGGCACACATAGGCTCAAAATAAAGGGATGGAGGAAGATATACCAAGCAAATGGAAAGCAAAAAAAAAATAAAAAGCAGGGGTTGCAATCCTAATCTCTGATAAAACTGACTTTAAATGAACAAAGATCAAAAGAGACAAAGAAGGCCACTACATAATGGTAAAGAGATCAATTCAACAAGAAGAGCTAACTATCCTAAATATATATGCACCCAATACAGGAGCACCCAGATTCATAAAGCAAGTCCTTAGAGACCTACAAAGAGACTTAGACTCCCACACAATAATAATGGCAGACTTTAACACCCCACTGTCAATATTAGACAGATCATGGTGGATAAGCTTTTTGAAGTGCTGCTGGATTCAATTTGCCAGTATTTTATTGAGGATTTTTGCATCAATGTTCATCAGGGATATTGGCCTAAGATTCTCTTTTTTTGTTGTGTCTCTACCAGGCTTTGGTATCAGGGTGATGACAGCCTCATAAAATGAGTTAGGGAGGATTCCCTCTTTTTCTATTGATTGAAATAGTTTCAGAAGAAATGGTACCAGCTCCTCTTTGTACCTCTGGTAGAATTCAGCTGTGAATCCATTTGGTCCTAGACTTTTTTTGGTTGGTAAGCTATTAATTATTGCCTCAATTTCAGATCTGTTATTGGTCTATTAAGAGATTCAACTTCTTCCTGGTTCAGTCTTGGGAGGGTGTTATGTGTCCCGGAATTTATTCCTTTCTTCTAGATTTTCTAGTTTATTTGCATAGAGGTGTTTATAGTATTCTCTGATGGTAGATTGTATTTCTGTGGGATCGGTGGTGATGTCCCCTGTATCATTTTTTATTGCATCTATTTGATTCTTCTCTCTTTTCTTCTTTATTAGTCTTGCTAGTGGTCTACCTATTTTGTTTATCTTTTCAAAAAACCAGCTCCTGGATTCATTGATTTTTCGAAGGGTTTTTTTGTGTCTCTGTCTCCTTCAGTTCTGCTCTGATCTTAGTTATTCCTTGCTTCTGCTAGCTTTTGAATTTGTTTCTTTTGCTTCTCTAGTTCTTTTAATTGTGATGTTAGGGTGTCGATTTTAGATCTTTCCTGCTTTCTCTTGTGGGCATTTAGTGCTATAAATTCTCCTCTACATGCTGCTTTAAATGGGTCCCAGAGATTCTGGTACATTGTGTCTTTGTTCTCATTGGTTTCAAAGAACATCTTTATTTCTGCCTTCATTTTGTTATTTACCCAGTAGTCATTCAGGAGCAGGTTGTTCAGTTTCCATGTAGTTGTGCGATTTTGAGTGAGTCTCTTAATCCTGAGTTCTAATTTGATTGCACTGTGGTGTGAGAGACAGTTTGTTGTGATTTCTATTCTTTTACATTTGCTGAGGAGTGTTTTACTTCCAATTATGTGGTCAATTTTAGAATAAGTGTGATGTGGTACTGAGAAGAATGTATGATCTGTTGATTTGGGGTATAGAGTTCTGTAGATATCTATTAGGTATGCTTGGTGCAGAGCTGAGTTCAAGTCCTGGATATCCTTGTTAACCTTCTGTCTCGTTCAACAAAATTCAACAGCTAAAAACTCTCAATAAACTAGGTTTTGATGGAACATATCTCAAAATAATAAGAGCTATTTATGACAAAACTACAGCCAATATTATACTGAATGGGCAAAAGCTGGAAGCATTCCCTTTGAAAACTGGCACAAGACAAGGATGCCCTTTCTCACCACTCCTATTCAACATAGTATTGGAAGTTCTGGCCAGGGCAATCAGGCAAGAGAAAGAAATAAAGGGTATTCGACTAGGAAAAGAGGAAGTCAAATTGTCTCTGTTTGCAGATGACATAATCATATATTTAGAAAACCCCATCGTCTCAGCCCAAAATCTCCTTAAGCTGATAAGCAACTTCAGCAAAGTCTCAGGATACAAAATCAATGTGCAAAAATCACAAGCATTCCTATACACCAATAATAGACAGAGAGCCAAATCATGAGTGAACTCCTATTCACAATTACTACAAAGAGAATAAAATACCTAGGAATCCAAGTTACACAGGATGTGAAGGATCTCTTTAAGGAGAACTACAAACCACTGCTCAATGAAATAAAAGAGGACACAAGCAAATGGAGGAACATTCCATGCTCATGGATAGGAAGAATCAATATCGTAAAAATGGCCAGAATGCCCAAGGTAATTTATAGATTCAATGCTATCCCCAACAAGCTACCTCTGACTTTCTTCACAGAATTGGAAAAAACTACTTTAAAATTCAGATGGAACCAAAAAAGAGCCCACATAACCAAGACAATCCTAAGCAAAAAGAACAAAGCTGGAGGCATCACGCTACCTGACTTCAAACTATACTACAAGGCTACAGTAACCAAAACAGGATGGTATGGTACCAAAACAGATATATAGACCAATGGAACAGAACAGAGGCCTCAGAAATAACATCTACAACCATCTAAGCTTTGACAAATCTGACAAAAACAAGCAATGGAGGAAGGATTCCCTGTTTAATAAATGGTGCTGGGAAAACTGGCTAACCATAGGTAGAAAGCTGAAACTGGACCCCTTCCTTACACCGTATACAAAAATTAACTCAAGATGGATTAAAGACTTAAATGTAAGACCTAACACCATAAAAACCCTAGAAGAAAACCTAGGCAATACCATTCAGGACATAGGCATGAGTAAAGACTTCATGACTAAAATACCAAAAGCAATGGCAACAAAAGCCAAAATAGACAAATGGGATCTAATTAAACTAAAGAGCTTCTGAACAGCAAAAGAAACTATCATCAGAGTGAACAGGCAACCTACAGAATGGGAGAAAATCTTTGCAATCTACCCATCTGACAAAGGGCTAATATTCAGAATCTACAAAGAACTTAAACAAATTTACAATTAAAAAAAACCCCATCAGAAAGTGGGTGAAAGATATGAACAGATACTTCTCAAAAGAAGACATTTATGTGGCCAAAAAACATATGAAAAAATGCTCATCATCACTGGTCATCAGAGAAATGCAAATCAAAACCAAAATGAGATACCATCTCACGCCAGTTAGAATGGCGATCATTAAAAATTCAGGAAGCAACAGATGATGGAGAGGATGTGGAGAAATAGGAACGCTTTTCACTGTCGGTGGGAGTGTAAATTAGTTCAACCATTGTGGAAGACAGTGTGGCAATTCCTCAAGGATCTAGAACTGGAAATACCATTTGACCCAGCGATCACATTACTGGGTATATACCCAAAGGATTATAACTCATGCTACTATAAAGACTCTTGCACACGTATGTTTACTGTGACACTATTCACAATAGCAAAGACTCGGAATGATCCCATATGTCCATCAGTGATAGACTGGATTAAGAAAATGTGGCACATATACATCATGGGATACTATGCAGCCATAAAAAAGGATGAGTTCATATCCTTTGCAGGGACATGGATGAAGCTAGAAACCATCAATCTAAGCAAACTATCACAAGGACAGAAAAGCAAGCACCGCATGCTCTCACTCATACGTGGGAGTTGAACAACAAGAACACATGGACACAGGGCGGGGAACATCACACACCAGGGCCTGTGGGAGAGTGGGGGCCTGGGAGAGGGATAGCATTAAGAGAAATACCTAATGTAAATGACGAGTTGATGGGTACAGCAAACCAACATGGCACATGTTTACCTAAGTAACAAACCTGCACGTTGTGCACATGTACCCTAGAACTTAAAAGTATAATAAAAAAATAATAAAATAAAAATAATGAAGATAAGCAAAGGGCACATTTATTTGTAGCCTGTTACGAAATGTTGAGTTCCCTAAGCTCAAGTTTTCTGTGTGATTCAGATGTACAGCAACTACCTGAGCCACTCTGCATCGCCCCATGGGACTTGGGGGCTGAGGGAATGAACATGAATGTGAAGCTCATATTATTGTTATGTCAGGAATCATAAAGTCCTTTGTTTCTAATCCAGGAACTTCGTGTTGTGTGTCAGTATACATGAAACTGTGGTGGCTAACTGGTTAGCTTGCAAGTATAATAACATTTCAGACCCTTCACAGTTTTTGACAGAGGAGAGGAGACGGTTTTTATGTTTAGTATAATGCAAAGAAAATAAGATTTAGAGTCAGGCTGATATAAGTTTGAATTTTGGTCCATCCACATCCTAGCTGGGCAACTGTAAGCCAGTTATTTAACTTTTGGATTTCTTTTTCTCCTCTATAAAAATGAATACAATGATATAAAAATGGAAGCGTTCTTGAGTACAATTTAAACAGAATAACTTATGTGAAATGCCTAGAACAATACTTAGCACAAAAATGCTTTCCTCTTTAATGATATTTTCATTTTCTACTTTTTCCTTATAGCTTTATTATTATATTTTTAAAGTGCATAAATATGTCTTAACACTACTAATAGGTAGGCTTACATGGAAAATGCTGAATCTCCTCAGTATGTAGTATATGAGCTACTCAACAAATATCTGTTAAATCAGTCAAGGACTAGTTGATAAGAATAGCTTATTTTATTCACTCACTAATTCATGCATCCTTATTGAGATGTTATTATGCTCCAGGCACTGAACTAGGAAGCAGAGATTTAGCAAAGAAAGCCCATGCTCTCATGAAACTTACTTTTGGTAAACACAGATTTAGCAAACACAGACGAGAATTTCGGACAGAGACAAGTGCTATAAAACAGCAGAAGCAAGAAAGAGCATGGGCGGCTGGTGAGGTTTAGGAGAAGCTTCTATGAGAAGGGGTTACTTTATCTCCCACCTGGCAATAGAAAGGGGCCAGCAATCAAATATCTGAAATAAGCACTTTGCAAGCAGAAGGGAAAGCAAGCGCAAAGACCCTGAAGTGAGAACAAGCTTGACCATTAGAGGAACCTAAAGAATGTCAGTATGCCTACTTCTCATAGAAGGTGGGAGGGACGAGAATAGTCAAGAGGTTCAGGTTGAAGAAGGAGGCAGAGGCCAGATCATGCAGGTACTCATAGCATGGTACAGATTTGGATTTCATGAGTCATTATGAAAGAATGAAAGAAATTAAGAAAGAATTACTCACTAGAAGAGTAATTTTTTTAAACACGTTTCTCAAATTTAGGGAAAGTAACTCCATAAATACATGTGGATGGTGGAGTTTAAGTTGAGATTTCTTATCTTGCTAGGGGATTCCCTATATTAATATTATTTATGTTTGCTCTTGAAATATCCCTGGGAATACACTGTAGTTGAGAAGGAACCAGAATTTAAAACAAGCAAAATTTCTCTTATAGTAATAATAAGTAATATATGGTGCTTACTATTATAGTACCTGGCTCTGTTCTAAGCAGTTTATGTATATTTAGTCATCCAATCCTCACAATAATTCTATAAACAACAGTAATAATAGATACTATTATCCACAATTAATAGATAAGGAAACTGAGGTGCAAAGAGATTCAGAAACTTACCCCAAATCACATATCTAGTAAGTGTTGAGTGCATATAATTAAAAACAAAATCTTTTCCCAACCCAGAAAACTTCTCCACAAAGGTAGAAGAGAAAGAATACAATTTTATTATTGAATAAGCATCAAAGCAGAATATCATACATCACAGGCAATCTGCTAAGAGATTACAAAGACAGAAAGAAATCGTACCCTTTTTATATTTATATAGCCAAGCAGATACAACCCATACATACATGTTCTCAAGATAAACAATGACTAGTCCTCAAGGAAGGGGACTTGACAGCACCATTTGTCATGCACAGTTCATCCTAAATTAGCCTGGTATTGGGGTGACCATGTGTGTTACTAATTGGCTTTACCCAAAGGAAAAATTAACTTCTCCTATCTCTATGACAGAAGGTAATTTAGGAACTAAGAATCCCCCACTGAAGTTAGGCTGCTACCCTCCCACAAAAACTGGAAGATAGGGGCACTATCTTCCTTGATTGCATTTCAAAAAGATGGTTCTCTGTTCTCTGATCCTTGAGAAAGACATTCCTGGGTCACAGAACTCACCAGAGCCTTATTTAGTTTTTAAAAAGATGTATATAGATTTCAAAGAGATAAAGAATGTGCAATTACAAGTTTTCTAAAGTAAATGCTCTAAGAAAAGGGAAGGGGTAGAAATCTTTTCCCTTATTTTTAAGAAGAAGAATTAAGCCTCCAATTTTTAATTTGTATTTGCCCTTAAATAAGTAGCAGAGCTGAGATCTGAACCTACACAGTCTGGGTCTAGGATCTACTTTCACACTTTAACATTTCTATTTCTTAGGCGCTCCATTCCTATTTTTCCCTATTTTTTTATTTCTTAGGCACTCATTCCTATTTTCCCTAATTTTCCTATTAAGAATGTGTAGAGTCATATTCTTAATTCTCATTTTTTCTGTCTTTGCTTTGACAAAAAAAGTATCTAGATAGGGCAGAGCAAGCTAAAATCATATATATTTGGCCCCATACTGTCAATGGAACTGATTTAATTCCCAAGGATTAAGCACTGTAGCAAATATAGCTCAATTCTAACAATAATTTGGCAATTTGCCCATCTAATTTGACATTAACAACCTAGGTAGACTGACAAACAAGATCATTTTATATACATTCCAGATGATGATTTTCTAAAACTGTCTGTTGCCATGAGCCAATGCTGTCTAACATAAATCATTCAAGGAAAGAGTACTTGGTATGTTGGAAAATGAAAATCAGCAACTAATACAATAAGTACAGCAGTTTACATGGCCACTAGCAGAATATGCAAGAGGATAAAATGGAGGTGAGAACACATAAGGTGGATTTTCTTAGTTTTATGTGCATGAAAATTACCATCCTTTTTAGAAACAAAACTTCATTTCTAAAATATCCCTTTTATTCATAACCGTACAAGAATTTTTACCCACATACTCTGTAAGAACACTGCCAGGGGGTGGGACAACCATCTACCTGGTATAATTTGATCTCTGATTACAAGAAGTTTAATAATTCCATTCAAAACAAGAAGAAGGTATATAACACATGACATACACTAGTTTACATTTAATAGAAAATTAATTAAGACACAATTAAACAATGTACTGCAAACACAGTACACACAGCTATATTATGTACCCCCTTATATTAACCTTCCACAGTGAATCTTTGTCTTTGCTCTTTCCCGATGAAAATGTATGAAAAGAGTGACTAAAGAGAGACCCAAATTGACTTACAACCATTTATAACTAAAGAACACATCTTTAGAATAAAATAAATGTATAGGTACATATGTAAGTAAGAAAACAATAAATATGCAAATCCAAACTAATATAAAAAGACAAGATTATTAAAGTTTCTGATAAGATGTTTCATTTCATTACATATGAATCCTAGTGGTGGGAACGAGTGTGGGAGGAAAGGAGATTGCAAGTTTGCTATTTTTGAAAGCATAATCCAGTATTCTAGTAGCAGACAGTATACTGCTCTTGTATATTTGCAATTTTCAGGATTGGTAAATATACTGTAGCCTGGGTCACAAAATACCTATTATCATATTAACTTTTTATTCAGCCAGCAATAAATTCCTAGATTTTAAAAACTCAAGTCAAGCAACTTTTATCACTGCTAAAAATTTAGTCAATAAAAATGTCAATATCTTAGTCTTCCAAACCACAAACTACAGAAGCATTCATTCATAATGAACTAACAGAGCTTCAAATACTTCCCTTCCCTCTTGTATTTCTCTCAAACTTATACTTAAGATCTGGAATTTTTCACTGACAATGTTTTCTTCTATAAGCTATCTATAAAGTCAGCCAGAAACAATGATTATATTGATAGGGATAATTAAAACAGCTAACATTTGTTACGGCTAACATTTGAGGGCTCCCTACGTACCAACCACTGGTTCTAAGGGTTTTACATGCATTTAATTTTCACAGTACCCCTATGAGACAATTAGTGTAATTATCCCAATTTCCAGATGAGAAAACTCAGGAACACCGTGAATAAATACCCTATCTAACTAAGGTCACACAGCAATAATGTGATGAAGCAAAATTCTAGCCCAGGCAGCCTGGCTCCAGAACCTACATCTTACCCACAAGCTTAACAGTTAATAAGGCATTCCGTCTTTTCTAATGATCTACATATGATGCCTTTCAGTACTTAATCTCAAAATTAACATTGACCCTCTTCTATATGTCATTATGTTGAGCCATATGGGAGCTATAATGAAATGTAGACATGGATACTATGTTAAGATGCTCAAAATAAAAGGTTAAGACAATAAAATAAATATTTCAAAAACTACTACACATATTAATTGCCAAGTTAATCCTCTCTATGTACTATATAGATATACTAGAGGCAGAAGAGAGAACTTCCGGATGTAAAAACCTGTTCTGACACTTCCACTCACCAGTTCTGTGATTTGGCCAAGACAATTAGATTCTGGAAGCATTGTTATACTAATTTGTATAACAATTACAAATTCTATTGATATCACTCTTTTCAAATTGTGGGATACAACCCATTAGTGAGTCATGAAATCAATAAAATGAGTCAAAACCAGCAACTTAATTTTTTTAAATGGAATGGAAAATATGCATCATTAGTAAATTTCTCAAAACTTTCAGGGTTTTCTTGTACATGTGTGTATGTATATGTGTGTACAGAATCTGATATAAAATGTATGCCTTCATTTGAGTATGGTCATAAAAATCTGAAAGCCACTGTTCTATTCCAAATTGATAAGGGTTGCAGGAGTTTATGGGTTAGAAGCTCTTGTTTCTGTAAAGATCTTTCCAAAGATGAACAAACATCTTTCTCTATATGCAAACTCCTCAAGAGAAGCAACCCTGTCTTACTAATATTTGTATACCCAGCACTAGCACAGTGCCTGACACACAGCCTGTTTTCAATAAATGATGGATAAATGGAAATAGACAGTTTAAGAAATTAGAATTTACCTACATTTTAAAGAATTGATAGAATTTGGATACTTTAAAGAAGAGAGTAGCAGGCATTTTTAGAATTCATTCTTTCATTTCCCAATCATATACTACAGCAGGGAAGGAAACCAAACAAAAAGCTTTCTACTTAGAACAAGAAGAGAATAAACTGAGTGGCACTGCAAAGCCAGGATGGTACCCCTGGTGCACTGATCCCACACCTACCCCTATGAATAGGCGAAGGTTACAGGTACTGAAGCCTGAAGCTGGAAAGATACACTGAGAACAACTGAGAAGGGCTGATGTTAACCCTTTTCTTAGAAAATATAAAATCAGAAGATGGTGATTCATATTTCTTATTTTAAACAGGAATATAGAGAACAAAAGTCAGATATTACTTGAGAAGCAGAGTGTCAGAGAACCAGGAATTAAAGACATAAGCTAATCCCCAATCAAGCATCTAACTGCATCCTGCCTTTAAGGATTGGGCCCCAGAACTTCTCAGGGATTCTTCCAGAGAAATCAGTAAGTCACTGCCCTACCTAAGCAATCAGTGCATCCCAGCACTGCACCAGGCAGAAGTTCGGTCATAAACAAGCACAACGGAAGTGTTCGTCTGTAGCTCGAGGCATTCATGCCTAAACAGAAGCATCGAATGCTCTCAAATAAAGGGCTAAATATCATACTTCATGAAACCGTTGGTAAAAATCCACACCAAGTTCTGCCATGTGGAATTTAAACGGGGAGAACCCTAGCTTGATGCATCTTACATTATTTCCTCCTTTGCTTTCTTCCTTGATTTACTCTTTGGTATTTCTCAGAAAAGAAAGAAAAGAAGAATGAGAGCAAAGGAGCAAAGAAGGGAGAAAATGAAAAAAAGAATAAGGAAGGAAAATAAATGGAGGTTTCTTTTCTGGCAGGTATTAAGAAAGTATCCTGAGGAGGTGCTGGAAGAAAGTTTTCCCCTACCTGGAAGCGGGGCATGGCCCACTCCCTGTGCTGCTTGGCAGATGTCTGCTGGCAAACCCAATCCTTGTCCTCTCCTTACCCATCTCAGACTGCTGGCTCTCTGTCAGCAAGCATCCAACTGGGCTCAGCCATGGGAGGAGAGCTGGAAGGGAAAAGTCAGAGTACTTGGTACCTACTTCATTGGGTGACCCTGACAGCTGGACTCCTAACTACATTGCATCCTCTGTTCCTCCAGCCTAGGGGTAATAGTGACGTCCTGCTGTTGCCAAACCCTGGGTTGCCTAGAAGTCCCTTTTTGGCTTCTTAGCTCTTCCACAGCTGTGTAACCAATTCCCTATATTATATTCTCTCTGTTTTAAATATTCAGAATTATGTTTTTCTGACTAGACTCTGCCTAATAAACTTTTCAGAAATGCAGCTAAAAAAAAGAGAGAGAGGAAAGAGACCTGGCTTAGTTGCAGGGAGTAAGAGAAAGCAAGACGAGGTGGTAAAGCAGGATCCAAAACCAAGTAGGACATTTTAGGGCACATTTACATGTTGACTTTTCATCAGGATGCCCTTCACTTTATTGTTTTAACTTTAATGACACTGTCTTGTTCCAATGTATTTTATGTTTACATTCTATTCATGACATGGGATTTTTACTTAGAGTAGTGACAGAGTTTTTCTGAAATACATATTTAACTTTTTTTAAATCAAATTAGAGAAACTATTAAATAAATCTTGTGCAGGTGTTGGACACATGTGGCCAAAACTATGAATGGCTGGAATTTAGGAAACTCTGGCATAAGAAATAATAATGTTCTTACATAATTTCAATACTGGTAAGGACATTTAACAATATTGTGGTTTGCCAGGAAATTTCCATCATTACATTACTGTCCTCAAACTCTCCTCAAAACAGATGTTGACAACAGTTTCTGGCTCAATTCCTTGTGTATATGATGAGAGCTTGTGGGATACAGGCACTTCATGAGTACTAAAAATATAGTCTGAGGAGATGAGTAAAATTAACAAGATCTGTCTCATTTTACTTTTTAAAAAATAATTTTAATGTTAAAAAAACCACTTGCTATTTTTTCTAATTATAAGGTATATAATTCATGATCTAGAATTTGAAGACAACAGAAAACTATTTTTAAAAAATCCCACAACTCTTTGATAAATGAATGCCTACATTGTTTTTTTAATCTTTCAATGAACTTATATTCATAGATTATATACACATACAATTCATATCACAGTTTGTCCAATTTTGTGTTTTTAAAACCTCAGATTATAATGAACATTGTTCTATGCCATTAAAAATGCTTCCCAATAGCAATGAGCACACTTAGTGCCCAGATCTTGTCATCTAATACTATTCTCAAGTAAAAGAAAACAGGAATCCTTGAAAACATGGCTATTTCTAAGACTAGAGCAGGAAATATATAAGAAGAGCCTGGACAGTCTAATGGGACCGTAAAGAAGGAAGGAAGTGCTCCAGAAAACATACACACACACACACACACACACACACACACACACAGACGGGAGTATATCAAAGGGGCACTGGGTCGAAATGAAAGCGTTCCCAATGGCCTGTGCCAGAACAATCTGAGCAAAGAAATAAATACAGTAATATTGGGTTATAATCCAAAGTATAAAATAAATATCCATTAGTCCACACTGATATAAATATATGATTGAATAAATAATGGGAGAGAATAGACAACTCTGTGCTGAATTCCAAATAATTTATGTAAATACTCAACCTTCAAAGAGGTGGGACTTAACTTTTCACCTTTTAAGGATAAGCTGTGCACAGTGACTTCCCTCCAAAGACTACAGTATGGAAAATGGGGTGGGGTGAGGGCAGGTAAAGTGCTGAATAACTTTACAGTGGAGAAACCTGACAAATGCTACCTCAGCCAAGCAATCAAGGTCAACATTAACAGTGATAAGTCATGTTGATAGTACGTACCCTCAATGTGATGTGATGAGAATGGCACTTTCCCTTTGGGGTTTCCTCCCAAAAACCCATGACTCCAGTCTAATCGTGAGAAAAACATCAGATAAATCCCAACTGAGAAACATTCTACAAAATATCTGACCAGTACTCCTCAAACCTATCAAGGTCATCAAAAACAAGAAAAGTTTGAGAAACTGTCACAGCCAACAGGAGCTTAAGGAGACATAACTAAATGTAATATAGTATCTTAGATAGGATACTGAAACATTAGGTAAAAACTAACGAGACCTTAATAAAGTATGGACTTTAAGTTAATAATAATGAATCCATGTTGGTTCGTTAATTGTAACAAATGTACTACAGTCATGTAAGCTACTAATAACAGGGGAAACTAGGTACAAAGTACATGGGAACTCTCTGCCCTATATTTGCGATTTTTCTTTAAATATAAAACTGTTCTAAATAAAAGTTCATTAAAAATGCTTATCAAAATATTTTGAAAACATTTTTAAATGATGCTCAATTGGTAGTGATACCTTGTCAACAATTAACCCCTGAGGAAATCTCTGTCCCAACAGAGGCTACATACAGAACTGGGGGATTCAGATCCACTGGTACAGGTAGCTTAAATCCTGGAGCCAAAATATGGGTAGAGTGTCCATCAGATCCCGCCCCTAAGGCTGGTGACCTTGTAGCTATGGGAGCAGAAAATGAAGGCATAGTACAATTTCCTAAAGATTAAAAACAATATCATGTTCTCCTCCATTTTTGTTATTACAGGGAATAACCTATCTACTAATGATCAGCACCTGTGTCTTTGTGTCTGAGGCCAAGAATAAATTCATCAACTGGGTAGCCACTACAGCAGAAGAAGCCAACCACAGTCAATGTTGACTACGCGTCAAGTTGCCAGAGGCCACAGGAAATGGACTACCTTGGAGAATCATCCCTGCCAACATTTCTGAATGGCTATGTCACTACCAATGGGGCCACAACAACAACACTTGCAACCCAACCTGGACTTCCTTTGACCAAAGGAAGAAATCTATCTTTGCCCATGTCAGACGAAAGGTGAACACCACCCTTGCCTTGTGTCAAAAGCTTTGGTATCCTGCCCAATATGCCTGGAACAGTATATATTGGGAAACTGCTGTGCTGGTGGCCAGATTCCATATAGCCCCCCACTTTGTCTGGAGGCCTTAAATGGCTCCTCTAATGTTACTCTGGGGTTTCTCCTGCCAGACAACTGTCAACACATACTCGAAATCAACAACATTGTCCCCAGTGAAACACAATCTCTTTCCTGCTTTAATAACACCTTAATACACTATAATTACAAAAAAACCATTGCTGTACCCTGGTGGGGGCCCTGTGGGTATGCAGATCCTACGAGTGGCAATACCTGCCCCCACATTGGATGGGGAGATGCACTTAGAGGTGGCCATTAATTCCATTCACCATCCAGGATAATATTCCCCTCCCCAGTAATCTGGACTCCCTGGTGGTGGTACCCTATCACAGTATTCTCCCCTGCCACCGGTACAATCCTGCTTCAGCAAAAAATTAAAATATTAAGCTTACATGTAGAAGAAGCTCTTAATGATAGTAGCATTGGACTTATGTTGCTATCAAATGAATTTGCTCAGCTGTGTACTGTTGTGTTACAAAATCGAATGGCATTAGATATGCTTACCGCAGCCCAAGGAGGGGTTTGTGCCTGACTGCATACTGAATGTTATGTGTATATCCCTGATAATTCTCACAATATCACTCTCCTTGAAAAGCCATGGTGGGTGTGGTTTTTATTAATTGTGCTTTTAATTCTCCTGTGCTTATCCTGTATCTGTAATCTGTATCAACTATGCCTTCCCCATGTATCTGTAAGGGTATTTTTCTACAATTGAGTATCAAATTGAGGCTGAGTGTGGAGGAAAAGTTAAATATTAAATTTGAACTCAATTGAACATGACACAAACGATGGTCACCAAGTCCCAGAACAGGTTGTGTGAGCCCCTTGAGGCGCTCATCCAGTGCTGATTCGGAGAAATCTCTATTTCAGTCTATTCCTATATGTTAGTTATTTAAAAAAATAGACAATTGCAAAAACAAGTTGACCTTTTTGTGTTCCTTGAGCCCAGTCACAAAGGGTTCTCGTGACTGGAAATCATGCCAAACAACTCATTACAAAAAGAGTTAGGGTTCCAGACTGCGCAAAAGCATCGTGAGACCTCTCCTCGTCTGTGCATGGATGAGTGGCCGACTCTGGAGCCCAGGCTATTGATTCCTGGTCTGATGGTGAATCCTCCATAGTCTGGTGAGTGTAAATATATATATGTATACACATATATGTATATGTGTGTGTATATATATATCTTTTCCCTTCTCCCCTTCCCATTGCAATTTGCTTTTGCTTATATCATTTGCTTATTATATCATTTGCTTATTATATCTATATTGCCATATACTTGGGATAAAGGCTGTCTACCCTTAAAGGTGCTGTGTGTGTGTCTTTTCTTCTCCCCTCGCACGTTTCCAGCACAGAACAAATGACCAGGTAATAACCCAGAGGGTTTACTGTAATTACTTAAGCATTCCTCTATTATTGGAAATGTGAGCAATTTCCAATTTTTCTATTAAAAGTAATGGAGTGATAAACAATTCTAAATATATTTTTGGTTCAATTCTTTGATTACAACCTTGCAATAGATTGCTGGAAGTTCATTCTACCTTTTTAAAAAGTTAAAATAACACATATTATGCACAGTAGCTAACCCAAAGAAGCTGAAGTCCCATTAGACTGTGAAACTTTTCCGAGGTAGATTCTATTCCTCTAGATAGTAAGGAAAATATCCGAAATTTGTTCCCAGCCCTATTCATTGATTTCTGCATCCATTCAATAAATATCTGAGTAACTGCTATCCATCAGACAAATAAACTGTTGGAAAGCCATTTAACCACTTTGAGACCTTGTACTCTGATCCATAATAAACACCAAATGGTCTTCACAGCTGAAGACCATTTCCTGATCCTTGCAATGAAGCAGTACATATATGAATAGTATGCAGTGG